>NC_000006.12:71095230-71398261 GCF_000001405.40 Homo sapiens
TGTGAGCATATGTGTGCATTTTTTAATTGGTGATTTTTAAAATTTCAATCTTTTTGGGGTAAGGTGGGTTTTTGGTTACATAGATGAGTTCTTTTGTGGTGATTTCTGACATTTTAGTGCATCTGTCACCTGAGCAGTGTACACTGTACCCAATAGGTACTCTTTTATTCCTCACCCTCTCCCAACTGTCCCCTCAGAGTCCCCAAAGTCCATTAAATCATTCTTATGCCTTTGTGTCCTCATAGCTTAGTTCCCACTTGTAAGTGAGAACATATAATATTTGGGTTTCCATTCCTGAGTTACTTCATTTAGAATAATGGCCTGCAGCTTCATCCAAGTTGCTGTAAAAGACATTATTTCATTCCTTTTTATGGCTGAGTAGTATTCCATGGTGTATAAATACCACACTTTCTTTATCCACTCGTTGGTTGATGAGCACTTAGGTTGGTTCCACATCTTTGCAATTGCGAATTGTGCTGCTATAAACATGCATGTGCATGTGTCTTTTTCATATAACGATTTCTTTTCCTTTGGGTAGATACCCAGTAGTGGGATTGCTGGATCAAATGGTAGTTCTACTTTTAGTTCTTTAAGGAATTTCCCTACTGTTTTCCATAGTGTTTGTACTAATTTACACTTCCACCAGCAATGTAAAACTGTTCCCTTTTTACCACATCTATGCCAACATCTATTGTTTTTTGACTTTTTATTTGTGGCCATTCTTGCAGGAGTAAGGTGGTATCTCATTGTTGTTTTAATTTACATGTCCTTGATGATTAGTGATGTTGAGCATTTTTTCATGTGTTTGTTGGCTATTTGTGTATCTTCTTTGGAGAAATTTCTACTCATGTCCCTTGCTCACTTTTTGATGGGGTTGTTTTTTTCTGATGCTGATTTGTTTGAGTTCCTTGTAGATTCTGGACATTAGTCCTTTATTGAATGCATAGCTTGGGAATATTTTCTCCCACTCTGTGGGTTGTCTATTTACTCTGCTGATTATTGTTATTTACTGTGCAGAGGTTTTTTTTTAGTTTAATTAGATCCAATTAATTTTTATTTTTGTTGCATTTGCTTTTGGGGTCTCAGTAGTGAATTCATTGCCTAAGCCAATGTCCAGAAGAGTTTTTCTGATGTTAGCTTCTAAGATTTTTATGATTTCAGGTCTTAGATTTAAGTCTTTGATCCATCTTGAGTTAATTTTTTGTATGATGTCAGGGATGCGGATCCAGTTTTATTCTCTTATAGGTGGCTTGCCAGTTTTCCCAGCACCATTTATTGAATAGGGTGCCCTTTTCCCGCTTTATCTTCTGTACGCTTTGTTGAAATCAGTTGGCTATAAGTATTTGCTTTATTTCCGAGTTCTCTATTCTGTTCCATTGTCCTGTGTGCCTATTTTTATACCAGCACCATGCCATACTATATGGTATTAGTACTACAGCTTTGTAGTGTAATCGAAGTCAGGTAATATGATGGTACTCACTGCCTGATTTTATAGTACTAGGTAACTATAGTCTTGTAGTATAATTTGAAGTTGGGTAACTTGAGAAGATACTTGATATAATTTCAATTTTCTTAAATTTATTGAGGCTTGTTTTGTGGCTTATCATATGGTCTATCCTGGAGAATATAGTACTAGGTAACAATAGCCTTGTAGTATAATTTGAAGTTGGGTAATGTGATGCTTCCAGATTTGTTCTTTTTGCTTAGTATTGTTTGGCTATGTGGGCTCTTTTTTGATTCCGTATGAATTTTAGGATTTTTTTTCTAGTTCTGTAAGAATAATGGTAGTATTTTGATGAGAATTGCATTAAATCTATAGATTGCTTTGACAGTATGGTCATTTTTACAATATTGATTCTTCTCATCCATAAGCATGGAATGCGTTTCCATTTGTTTGTGTCATCTGTGATTTATGTCAGGAGGGTTTTGTAGATTTCCTAGTAGAGAGCCTTCATCTCCTTGGTTAAGTATATTTGTAAATATTTTATTTTATTTTTTGCAGTTGTTGTAAGAGGGATTTAGTTCTTGATTTGATTCTCAGCTTCATCATTGTTGGCATATAGCAGTACTATGGATTTGTGTACATTGATTTTGTATCCTGAAACTACTAAATTCATTTATCAGATCTAGGAGCTTTTTGGATGAGTCTTCAGAGTTTTCTAGGTATACAATCATATCGTCAGTGAACAGTAAGATTTTGACTTCCTCTTTTCCAATTTGGTAGCCCTTTATTTCTTTCTCTTGTCTGAGAACAGTAAGATTTTGACTTCCTCTTTTCCAATTTGGAAGCCCTTTATTTCTTTCTCTTGTCTGATTGCTCTGGCTAGGACATCCAGTACTATGTTGAATAGAAGTGGTGAACGTGGGCATCCTTTTCTTGTTCCAGTTCTCAGAAGAAATGCTTTCAACTTTTCCCCATTCAGTATGATGTTGGCTGTGGGTTTGTCATATATGACTTTTATTACTTTGAGGTAAATCCTTCTACCCTTATTTTGTTGAGGGTTTTTATTATAAAGGGATGCTGGATTTCGTCAAATGCTTTCTCTGTGTCTATTGAGATGATCATATGGTTTTTGTTTTTAATTCTGTTTATGCGATGTAGTTGACTTACATATGTTAAAGCATCCCTGCATCCCTAGGATGAAACTCACTTGATCATGATGTATTATCTTTTTGATATGCTGTTGGATTTGGTTAGCTAGTATTTTGTTGAGGATTTTTGCATCTATGTTCATCAGGGATATTGGAATGTAGTTTGTTTTTTCATTATGTCCTTTCCTGGTTTTTATTAGGGTGTTACTGGTTTCATAGAATGATTCAGGGAGGACTCCTTTTTATCTTTTGGAATAGTTTCCATAGGATTGGTACCAATTCTTCTTTGAATGTGTGGTAGAATTCAGCTGTGCATCCATCTGGTTGTGGACATTTTTTTGGTTGGCACTTTTTTAAAATTATTGATTCAATCTCACTGTTTGTTATTGGTCTGTTCAGAGTTTCTGTTTCTTTCTGATTTAATCTAGGATGGTTGTATATTTCTGGGAATTTATTAATCTAGGATGGTTGTATATTTCTGGGAATTTCCTCTAAATTTTCTAGTTTTGTGTGCGTAAAGTTGTTCATAATAGCCTCAAATGATCTTTTATATTTCTGTGGTACTGGCTGTAATATCTCCAGTTTCATTTCTCATTGAGCTTATTTGAATCTTCTCTCTTGTTTTCTTGGTTAAATCTCACTAAGGGTCTATCATTTTGGTTTTTCTTTTCAAAGAATCAGATTTTGTTTCATTTATCTTTTGTATTGGTTTTCTTGTGTGTTTCAATTTTATTTAGTTCTGATCTTTGTTATTTATTTTCTTCTGCTGGTTTGGGTTTGGTTTGTTCTTGTTTCTCTACTTTCTTGAGGTGTGAAATTAGGTTGTCTATTTGTGCTTTTTCAGATTTTTTGATGTAGGCATTTAATGCTATGTAGTTTCCTCTTAACACTGCTTTTGCTGTATCCCAGAGGTTTTGATCAGTTGTGTCAGTATTATCATTCATTTCAAAGAATTTTTAAATTTCCATCTTGATTTCATTGTTAACCTAAAAATAATTCAAGAGCATTTTGTTTAATTTTCATGTATTTGTATACTTTTGAGGGTTCCTTTTGGGGTTGACTTTCAGTTTTAGTCTATTGTTGTCTGAGAAGATACTTGATATAATTTTTATTTTCTTAAATTTGTTGAACTTGTTTTGTGGCCTATCATATGGTCTGTCTTGGAGAATGTTCTATGTGCTGACAAGAAGAATGTATATTCTGCAGTTGTTGGGAAGAATGTTCTATAAATGTGTGTTAAGTCCATTTATTCTAGGGTATAGTTTCAGTCCATTGTTTCTGTGTTGACTTTCTGTCTTGATGATCTGTACAGTGCTGTTAGATGAGTATTGAAGTCTCCTACTATTATTTTGTTGCTGTCTATATCATTTCTTAGGTCTAGTAGTAATTGTTTTATAAATCTGGGAGCTCCAGTGTTAGGTGCATACACATTTAGGATTATAATATCTTCTCGTTGGACTAATTCTTTTATCATTATATAATGTCCTACTTTGTCTTTTTGTTTTTTAACTCTTATTGCTTTAAAGTCAGTTTTGTCTGATATAAGAATAGTTACTCCTATTCACTTTTGGTTTCCATTTGCTTGGAGTATACTTTTCACTCTTTTGCCTTAAATTTATGTGAGTCCTTACGTATTAGGGCAGTCTCTTGAAGACAGCAGATATTTGGTTGGTGGCTTTTATGCATTCTGCCATTCTGTATCTTGTAAGTGGAACTTTTAGGCCATTAACATGCAATGTTAATGTTGAGATGTGGAGTACCATTCATTCATCATATTAGTTGTTACCTAGATTTTTCAAAAAATTGTATTATTGTTTTATAGGCCCTGTGAGATTTATGCTTTAAGGAGGCTTTATTTTAGTGCATATTGAACTTTTGCTTCAAGATTTAGGACTCCTTTTTAGCTTTTCTTGTAGTTCTAGTTTGGTAATGACAATTCATTCAGCCTTTTTTTGTCTGAAAAAGACTTTGTCTCTTTTTCATTTATGAAGCTTAGTTTTGCTGGATACAAAATTCTTGGCTGACAGTTACTTTGTTTAAGGAAGCTAAAGATAGGACCCCAGTCCGTTCTGGCTTATAAGGTTTCTGCTGAGAAATCTGCTGTTAGTCTGATGAGTTTTCCTTTATAAGTTACCTGATTCTTTTGTCTCACAGCTCTTAAAATTATTTCCTTCATGTGGACTTTAGATAGTCTGATGACTATGTGCCTTGGTGATGATCTTTTTGCAATGAATTTCCCAGGAGTTCTTTTTACTTCTTGTATTTGAATATCTAGATATCTAGCAAGGCCAGGGATGTTTTCCTCAATTATTTCCTCAAATAAGTTTTCCAAACCTTTAGACTTCTCTTCTCTGTCTGGAACACCAGTTATCCTTAGGTCTGGCCATTTTACATAATCCCATATTTCTTGGAAACTTTGTTCATTTCTTTTTTTTCTTTATATCTTTGTCAGATTGGGTTAATTTAATAGTCTTGTTTTTGAACTCTGAAATTGCTTCTTCTACTTGTTCTAGCCTATTGTTGAAACTTTCCACTGCATTCCCTAAGTGTGTCTTTCATTTCCAGAAGTTCTGATTGGTTTTTCTTTATGATATGTATCTCTCTGGAAAAATTTTCATTCATGTCCTGGATTAAAAAATTTTTCTTTATGTTGTTTTTCACCTTTCTCTGGTATCTCTTTGAGTAGCTTGATAATCAACCTTCTGAATTCTTTATCTGGTATTTCAAAGATTTCATCTTGGTTTGGATCCATTGCTGGGGAGCTAGTGTGATCTTTTGGGAGTGTTATAGAACCCTGTTTTGTCATATTACCAGTATTAACTTTTCTGGTGTCTCCTCAATTGGATAAACTATTTCTTCAAAATGTTCTTGAATTTATTTTTGATTTGACTGTGTTTAAAAATTTGTTTCCCTCTTAAGGATCTGACTTTAATGTTTATAGTTTATAATAGCTGAATTTGATTGTTGGTGCTTGTAGGGGTGAAGACTATATGAGTTCCTTAGTTACAAAGAATCTTTGTGCGCTGACTTTCCCAGATGCTGGTTGAAGTAGTTGTGCATTTGGTGTGTGGGCAAGTTTACTGTCTCCTATAGGGTCGGAATAACAGGGATCTATTGAAGCTTATCTCATTCTCCTGTGGTGTACACTTTATTTATTTATTCAGTTTTTCTCCAGTATTTTATTTACTGAGTAGATACTTCAGGTTTCAGGCCAGTAGGGAGGTATCCCTAGTTTGGCACCAGTTGTAGCTAAAGCAGTTGGGTAGATGTAATACTCAATGGTGGGCAGAGGTCCCAGCCTTGATGAAGATGGCTGGGGAAGCTCTCAATTAGATGTGCTGATGATTTATCAGGGTGAAGGGTGGAAGCCACCTCAAATCTCCTGCCAGGCCAGCAGGAAAGCTATCTACCTCTGTGCTTTACTCCTGTCCCACTGTTCTGGCTATTCAGATCAGACAGGCATATCTTTTCATCTGTAGGAATGTTGATGTTCCAAGTAGGGAGGAACTGTGACTTTGCCTCTTGTGCAAGCCTGAATCTGAAGAGTACTCCTCCTGTGGGGCTTCAATCATCCTGAATTATTCCAAGAAGGCTGTCTATAGGTGCATACATGCTATATTCCCATGGGAGAAGCCCCAGCTGCATCTGCAGTGATGTACTGGGGAAACAAGGACCCTTTATCCAAGACCCTTCATGATCACAGAGGCTGTCTACCTGTTGGAGTAGAGGTGAAGACTTTCTCTACTGCACCCAACACTGCAATTGGGTCTCTGCTGTAAGAAACTTCCCACCAGCAGAAAGATCTGGGACTCAGGGCCTGCCGTTCAGATTCTTTTGTTTCATGGGTGTTCCCTTGATGTGGTGATTTCTCCCTTCCCCTACAAGGGAGACTTCCTGATAGCCAGACTGCAGTGTCTGTTATTGCTCTTCTGGGTCTAGCCACCCAGTGGGGCTACCAGACTCTGGGCTGGTGCTGAGGAATGTCTGCAAGGGATCCAGTGAGTGACCTGACTTCAAGTTGCCCATCACACACATATATTTTTACTAATGTATCATTTTACTTTACATATTGCTTTCTGACCTACTTTTTTTCTCTTAACCTATTGTGAATAAATGAGGCTTTTGCCTTATTTCATCTTTCCTTGTGAATAAATAAGGCTTTTGCACATGATAATTTGCAATGATTGAATAGATATGGATGTATAGCATACCAATTATTATAAATGTAAGACTTGATACGCATCTTAAATATCTTTTATATTTGTCTAAATACTATCTTTAAATAATTATAAAGAATATATAAATAATAACAATTAAAACATTAACATTATTTAATAATTAAAATAATAAAAAGTATCTTAAAATATATTTGTATATGTGGCCTTTTGCTCATAAGGATGTATGTTCTGCTTTGATATATATTGCTACATAGAAAAACTGGGCCAGTGTATATCCACCCACTTCATGGATTGTACAAACTTACCCATTTCCTTGCATCACTAACTGTGGGGTTTTTTTTTTGCATCTTTTTCAATGGATAAGTAAAAACTTGTAACTCCCGCTTTAATTATTTGCATTTTTTAACTTACTAGTGAAGTTGAACTTCTTTTCTCAAGTTTTTTGGCCACTTATATTCCTTTTATTTTGTGAATTGTCATTGTGTGTCCTGTGACCTAAATCTCTTAAACTTATTATTATTTTATTAAATTGTGAAATATGTTACAAATATTGAAGAATGGATCAAAATGTAAATATGGTTTAAAAGTTACTATAAAGTGAACACACATGTAATGACAACATGGTTTGAAGAAATAGGACTCTGCCAGTTCCTAGGGGCTCCCTGTCCCCCTCCTGATGTTGCAGCTCCTCTCCTCCCAGAAATAACCCAGGAGTAACTGCTAGCATGACTTTCATGATCATCACTATCTTGCTCTTTTTTGTAGTGGTACCACTTCTGTGGACATTCCTAAACAGAAGAGGCATGTTTGCCTGTTTTTGAACTGTGGATGGATGAAATACAATCTCATGCTTTCTCTTCTGGCTGGCTTGTTCTGCTCAATATTGTGTCTTGGTTCATTGGTGGAAAGCCTGTGGAGGACAAAGGAGAGACTTCTTTAACAGGTTTGAGTACTCCTCATTGGCTTAGCAAAGCCTTCCTTGGAACCGCACTGCAGTCTCTGATTCTTTCTACTCCATCCTTCCTCCCTGCTCATTATAAGGTCTGACCTCCATTATGATCTGAAGGCTCTTCCTACCAGTATTAATTTGCCAGGGCAGCTGTAACAAATTACCACACAGTTGGTGGCTTCAAGCAACAGAAATTTATTCCCTCACAGTTTTGGAGGCCAGTTTAAATCAAGGTGTCAGCAAGGCTGTGCTTCCTCTAGAGGCTCGTGGGAGAATTTTTCCTTACTGCATCCAGCTTCTGATGGCTCAAAGAATTCCTTGGCTTGCATCACTCCAATCTCTGCCCCAAAGCTTTCTCTGTCTTTCCATTATAAGTCATTATCATTGGATTTATGGCTCATCTGGATAATGTTGGATGATGTCATCTGAAGATCCCTAACTTTGTTACTTCTGCAAAGACTCTTTTTTTTCCCCCCAGATATGGCCACATTCCCAGGTTCTGGGATATGGACTTATCTTTTTGGTGGCCATCAGTCAAGTGAACACTGGATCGCCTTCTCTGGATCTCCCCCTTTATTCTTCACATGTGGGCCCCCCAATAAATGGGTCTTATCTTAGCAGCTGCTTCTTGAAGGACTTGAACCAACCACAAATCATTGAGCTAAAAAGCTAGTCCTGCCATTAGGAACGCCACTGCCTGTGTGGTTCCTCTGAGACACAGCCTCAGCTTGTGATGCAGGTCAGAGCCCTGTGAAGAAGAGGAAGCCCTGGACTGGGTAGCGAGAATCTCACACAGAGGAGCAGTTCTGGGAAAGATCTGGCCAGGCCAGCAGGGAATCCCTGAGCCCATTAGAAGAGTGCTGAGTCTCACAGGCAGAGCCTGCTGTAGTTCACCTACTATGCTCCACCATTAGCAGGGAGCAGCAGGCTGAGGCACATGGGGCCCAGGCAGGAGTGTGGCAGCCCCTGGGGCTGTCAACTCACTGTGCTCTTTGCTGCAGCACATCTGGGAAGCTCCTTTTCATGGCCAATAACATCCACCCCTTGTACTGAACAGATGTACTTTTTCCATCCAGGTTTGGGAATAGAACCTCAATGATTCCAGTGGGCCTCTCTGAGGAGAAACTTAAAAGAGGCAGTGCTATGGTCGGAATGTTCGTATGTTGAAACCTAACCCCCAGTGTGGTATTAGGGGGTGGGCCTTTGGCAGGGCAAAGCCCTCATGACCTAATCACCTCCTAAAGGCCCCACCTCCTAATGGGGTTAGTGTCCTTATAAAAGAAGCCCGAGAGAGCTGCCTTGCCCCTTCCACCACTGAGAACACAGCTAGAAGGCGCCACCTGTGAATCAGGCAATGAATCTTCACCAGATACTGAATCTGGTGAGAGCTTGACTTTGGCCTTCTCAGCTTCCAGAACTGTGAGAAATAAATTTCTGTTGTTTATAAGTCACTCAGTTGATGTTTTGTTTGTTTGTTTGTCTGTTTGTTGTTATAGCAGCCTGAGCAGACTAAGACAGGCAGGTTACTCTATTAAGAACAAACTAAGTCCCTGCCACTGTAGTTGGTCTCAGGGCCACATGCGTTCCTCTTCCTCCCCGTCCTCCACTCTCTACTCTAAATTCCCATCACCCTCAGCTGTCCCCTCAGCAGGTTGTGGTGGTTTGCCTTTGGAAGGTGTGATTCAAACCTTCACTGCTGCAGGGTCAAAACCCTTGGTAATCCCACCCTTGCTTTGGGGCTATTGCACATGTGCATCCACAGTACAGTGGAACAGGGAGAAGAACCCTTCCATTCCTAAACCCAGGTATTCTTGCTGTGGTGAGAGTGCCATTTTGAAATTTCTAATTTAATGTGTACAGTGTATCAAGAAGGATGGCACCCTATCTTTCGGAGTGCTGTCTCTGAGCTGGCACTTCAGCGTGCCCTCACAAAGCCATTCCCAAACTCTATGAGGCTGGCTGCTTCTGCATGAACACTGTGTGATATAACAAGTGGTCAGGGGCACAATCCCCCATATCTCATGGTGAGGGAAGTGACAGAGTGTGCAGTAGCCTCCATTTATCCTCTTTCCAGATCCATTTTCTGTTCTGTGCCTTGCTCTATTTCCCAGAAGGTGAAGACTTTGGGATATCATCACCAGGTTGGATTCAGGCAATGGGGGTGAGGCGGGTGGCTGGGAGGAAGAACCACGAAATTGAAGGGAAGGTGGATAAAAAGTTTCAGATTTTTTTTTTTCTGCCAGTCTTCCCTGCTTTGGTCCAACAGAGGCTGTGCCCCTCCATGTGCTTTCATAGTTACCATTCTCACTAGACTCCAGATTCACTCTTTCCTCGGGGTGGTAATAGCTTCCCTCCACATTTCCCTTAAGCTTGCCCCGGTTAGATACTAGTCTGTGTGGATCTCAAGCCTATGAATTAGGCCCCAGATAGTGGTGCTGGATGAGGTTTTGAGGACAGGTGAAGGAAAACCATACAGGGGATAGGTTTCCAGCCCTGGGAGAGTGAATGCCAGCCCTTCCAGGATAGAAGGGGTCCCCGGTAGCAACTTGCCACCCAGTGGTCAGTTGGTCTCTGAGGAATAAACCATATTGGGGGCTCAATATTGGTCTCTCTTCCTAGCAGGTTAGACATTCAGAGGCAGCAATAGCCAGATTGGCTTTGGTAAATAGAAGTCTATGCTCTTGGGTGCACATCTTTCTATCAGTTTGACCACTGTGACCTCTCCATTCATGCCATTCTGGGGTGGCCGATGAAAAAGTCTGGTTAATGGCAGCTAGCTAGCTGGATCTGTTCACCTCCTAGGCTATTTCCTGCCGCTTCTGTGGTGGATGATCTCTAGTGTGTGTTAACATGTGACACAAAAGTCTTCACACTTTGTGCCCACTGCCATATGGCCCTCCCCATGTCTCTTCCCCAGGCCACCTTGTTTGAGGAATGGAGCAAATAAGGTCCTTTTGGATGAGCAAATGTAGAAAGGAAAATCCTAGTATTAAACAAAGTTGAATAGTTCATGAAACTATTACAAATATGGTAACATAGGTTGTAAGTTTGAATAAAGTTGTGATTACTTAAGATTTAGAAATCTTATATTATTTATTCTTTGAAAGCACTGTGAACCTTATGTCAAAAGGAAAGTGATGCCAAAAGAGACAGAAAAAGAGATTGAGAGAGTTTTCCTGGGTGATTACTAACCCTGAGTCCTCATTCTAGCCAAACACTGCCAACACAGGCACAGGAGTGTACAAGACAAGCCAGTGAACAGAACCATGAGAGGTGTGTGAAGCCAGGGATTATATGACCTGAATTGGAGGCAAAGAGCTCTCAGTAGTACCTGCCAAATGAAAGCAAGAAGGATTAGCCTACTGTTTTATACTTCTCTCTTCCCACCAGCTAGAATGGGAATCTTCTGGGCTTTTGGAGTAAGAACGCTTCTTGTTTGAGGAATATGCCATAAGGAACCCTGCTAAGGGCCTTATGAAAAGGCGCCTTTGGAGCAAGCAGCCTGCTGACAGTTGAGATTTGAATTTCAAATGCAGGAACTTCTGAAAGAAAAACAGTCTCAGTGCAACATAAATTGCTTCCAAACACTCAAAGACACAGCAGAAAGGGCAACAGAAAACCACATGAGGCAAAATAATTTTGACAAACTGTTATGAAATCTGTTCTCTTTCTCTGCGCCCCTCTCCTCCCAACCTCCAAGTAACCAGAAGAAGCAGAAAATTAATTGAAACTGCAGGAAGTTCCAAGAAACTCTGAGGTGGGAGATATATTTGAAAACTAGGTGCTATGACTGAATCAACAGTCTCCTTTAGGGAAATATCCCCCAGAGAGAAAGAGAAAGTCCTGACTGAGTATGAAGACAGCCAGTCCATTTGTATATATTTAACTTGTAAAGATGGAAGCTGTGTGTACTGTTAGCCAGCTTTTAGGCCACTCCTGAAGCCCCTATAAGGTGCATGCATAGCAATTAATCATCATGTGCTTTGTCATCAAGTAATCTGTGATATATTTCAGACGTCTCAACTGAAAGAAACTTCCTTTTCTGCCTGGAGAAAGAACTTGTGAAAGCATCCACCACTGTGTAGCCCGGGTATGAGAGGTGCCAACTGTTTATACATCACATGCCCAGAAACCACCCGAAGGTTAGTTCTTTTCACAGAAAGGAAAATACAAATTTGTGAACCATATCCGAAGGCTGAGTAAGATGACTTGGAGGGCAGGTTTCAGAATGAATTTGAAATATACAGTCAGATCGCTATTTTTCCATGCCTTTGTGTGTGTGTGTGTGTGTGTGTGTGTGTGTGTGTGTGTGTGAAAGAGAGAGAGTGAGAGAGAGTTAAACGTGTCCCTACTGGTGACCCAGTCAAAGAGCAATTGTTGAATTCCTGCATTTCAGGCTGTGGACATATTATTCTACCAGTGGGAAATAAGGTTCTTGCAGTCCCATTATGGGAAGCCAAATTGCTTCATCCCCAGAAGCCAGAAGATTTCACTAGCTAGCAGTGGGGAGCCCATACAAAGCTGTAATTTGCAATCTGAATCTAATTTCAAACCTCATCTAAAAAAATGAAAATTAATATATTGAAAAAACTCCCTATACTGCTGGCTAGCTTCCTGCCAAATTCCTTAGAATTTATCAGTAATTGATTTCTTGAAGAAAATTAGTCAGTTTATTCATTGTTTCAAATATTCTTTTACTTTGTATATAGTAACTATGGTTAATATGGGTAAAGACCCACCTACTAAGAAATGATTCATAACATTATCCAAAGGAATGACTATCTTTAGAATATTACCAGTGTAAGAAAACAAGTTTGTCTTCTAATAAAAGTGAAAAATTTATGTGAATTCAGCCTTAAAATAGGAAAGAGCTCTACTCAAGTGAGATTGAATTTAGGGGCTGTCACTCCCGAAGGTGGAGAGAAAGATGTGCATGAGAAATGTCACACACATCTAAGCTTTGGCTCTGCTCACCCAAACCCGCCCCTTTCTAAAGCCAAATTAATGAGCGGGCTACTGTCTCCAGCTTCCCGACCATAACAAGCTTGCAGTGGAGGGAAGAAACAGAGCAAGGGAAATTCATGACTGAGCAATGTCCTCCCACCACTTGAAACGTGAGCCGTTGCCAAGAAAAATATAAGGGTATTATTAGACAAGCACACACACCACCCTGCAGTCATGAAGGTTGGAAATGAAGGTACAGGGTTAGCCTTCTCAAAAGAAAGTTGCAAACAATACCAAAATCCTTTCTCTTCAACTCCTCCACTTTCTATTTGATTTCTGGAGCTCTTAACAAATGACAAGAATTGGCCGAGTTGTGTTTTTCCTGCCTCCTGCTCCTTCCTCTGCTGAAAGTAAAAGCTAAAAAAGCTGAGAAATGATTACAAGTTGGACAGAAGGGAAAGAATTCAGTCTGAGTAATTTGCCAGCTGTTACTCAGCTCTGGATAACTAAAGCCTGAAGGACACTTACCATGGTGGAGGTTTTGTGGGGCATGAAGCTTATATAATTTCAGGGGCTTTCTTTAAGAAAAGGAAGACCCATTTATGAAATCAATATTAGGTATGAAAGTATACAGTTATTCAGAATGAGAAATCACAAGGAAACACACATACTAAAAAGCTGAGAAATAACTCTTCATCTGGGATTTGTCATTTCTCATCTCAATGAGTGTACTAATTCTTTCCTGTTTTTTTTGTTTTGTTTTGTTTTTGTTTTTGTGTTTTGTTTTGAGACAGAGTCTCCCTCTGTTGCCCGGGCTGGAGTGCAGTGGTGCGATCTCAGCTCACTGCAAGCTCTGCCTCCCAGGGTTCAAGTGATTCTCCTGTCTCAGCCTCCTCAGTAGCTGGGATTACAGGCACACACCACCATGCCTGGCTAATTTTTGTATTTTTATTAGAGATGGGATTTTGTCATGTTGGACAGGCTGGTCTCGAAATTCTGACCTTAGGTGATCTGCCCACCTCAGCCTCCCAAAGGGCTGGGGTTACAGGCTTAAGCCACCACACCAGGGCCCAGTGTAAAATGAAAACTGTGGGTCCCCTTGTTCAAAAAGTATTAAGAATTTCAGCAGAACATTAAACCAAGCTCAGGTCCCTTCTAAGTGTGGAGCCCTGCAACTGCATAGGTTGCACACTCATAGAGCTGGCCCTATCAGCATAATAAAATACAGAAAAGTAATATAAATAGTATGTTTTTATGAACTGATGGACTTACTTCTATGACTTGTCTTACTTTTTTTCTACATATTTTTTGACTACTACTTCATATGATGACTACTTTGTAATATCTTTTTCAATACCCTGGAAAGATAATTCAGTCTTTCTTTTTAGCATGCTAATTAAAATTTTTTCTTTCTTTCTCTTTCTTTCTTTCTTTTCTTCTTTCTTTCTTTTTCTTTCTTTCTTCTTTCTTTCTTTCTTCTTTCTTTTTTTTTTTTTTACCATTGACAGATTAGAAAAATTTGTTTCAGCATCACAATTCATTATTTTTCATGTCATGTAAGCTTTTAGGATTGTAGTTAAGTTTGGGAAAGCCACTGTCAAGTTTCTTTCTCCTAGTATGAGCCACAAGATTTGTTTTACAGACAGGCCTGGTACCACCTGCATGCTTCTAGAACCAGGTTCTCCAAGATGGGTCCACAATGCCGTACAACCTCTGGTCTGGCTTTCTGTTGTGTTGTTAGGGGAGTTGGCACAAGAGTGGGTGATGGGAGGATTTTTTGAGGCCATTCTTTTACCAGAACAGTTAGCAATAACTTGGAAGTGATATCTCAAACTAAATGATTCTCAAATAAAGTTTCTCTTGGCTGGATTCCAAAAATGCCCACGGCCCCAACACCAATAGACAGGTGGGAAAGTGTGATTAGGGTTGGGTTGGGTGGGGTCTCAAAGTCATGGTGGACTATAGTTGATCTTGTGAAAATAGTTCACTTCTGCAAATTTTATAATATGTGACATGGAAAGGGCCCATGCAAGCTTAACCCTCATTGCAGCCTCATAGTAAATCTACTTCTGATAATAAAACACATCACATTGGCACTTGGCAATCTACTCACCTAGAGTGAAGTATTATGCCAATCACAAAATAGAGCCACAGAGCTGGCTCTAATACAAGCTGGGCAAATGGTGGCCATTTTCTTTGTGAGAGGCCACGTGACTTCTGAATTCCACAACACAAAGGCTGCAGGCTGCCCTTCTGTGTTTTTAGGTGCATGTTTCCACTTAGGTAATAAAGCAGACAGCGATGGCATGATGGACAATGATACTTACTGCAGATTAAGATGGATGAAAAGAGTCTACTCCCCTTATTTGAGGTAAAGGCCACTTCCGATTTACTCCTAGAAAAGGGCCTGCACATTTAAAATAAAGAGTATTTTCTAGAAATCAAAGTCTTGTTTTGAAAAGAAATATTTTACTCACTGCTCTATAGGGCTGGAATTATAACAACCATGGATTATATGTGGAAAATGAGTTAATTTTGCAACGCACACTTCGTGTCATCTAGATACCAGGTTCCCAGCATCTCACAGAGCTTGAGAGTTGGTGTGGTTCTCAGACATAGGTTTTACAATGCCCATTGGACAGGCAAGACAATAGGCTAAAAACAAAAGGGAAGAGACCATAATGATATGCAGCAGTGTTGGATGTGTCTTAGAGTCAACTTGCAATTTTTCATGCTAGAGAGAGGAGCAGCAACATGGAAAATTGAAAACTGGACTATCTGTCCAGCTAGTCAAGACTGTACCCTTACTCTCTGGGGGGTAAATCCAGTGGCCTTTTCTTCACACTCATACTTCTTGATCTCTCAGCCATCTTTGAGACTGCTGAACTCTCCTCCTTCTTGAACTCCTTTCTTTCTTTGACCTTGTCCTCTCCACACTCACCTTCACCTGCTCTAATGGTGAAGTTTCTATTCCCTCCTCCACCCTCTGCTCTCCTCTATATTTTCTCCTTGGCTCTTTCACCCTCCCTCGACCTCACTGAGCTTTCCTATGGAGTCTCTCACCCTCATTCACAATGCCTTCCCCCTCTAGTCTCACCTGACTGATCCACTGGCTTGTAAAACCTCCACATGCCTATGATCTTTCTTCTGTGTTGTCACCACAATCCTCCTCATCCTTCATTTCTAAGGATGTCACCCCAATCCTCCTCATCCTTCATTTTGAAGATTTGGCAGAATCTCTGACTCTCTCAACCTCTTCTTCTGAAATCCCTTTCACCTGCCATTTTCTCTCCATCTCCAATAGAGTTATCACATCACTGCTTCACTGATTAAAATAACCTAAATATTTTTCTGGCTTCATCCTCCCTTCTTTTAATGTATTCTAAGTATTTTCTCTAAGTATAATTAAAATATTATACTCTACTGCTCAAACACCTCCCATAGCTTCCCATTGCTATCCTTCATAAAGTACAAAATTCCTTAGTACAACATTTGGGGCTTTCCGTAATCTGACTCCAACACATCTTTCCAGTATTATATCATACACTCTTCCTCCCTCACCCTTTGATTTAATGGAGGAGGAATAAAAGGGCAATGTACAACACAGAGCCTTTATGTGGATAATTGAGGCCCGACCAAACTTTATATTTCCCCCAGAGCACCAACAAATGTTTTGATGAGAGATTTAATGAGAAAGGACATGTAGCTAGGTTAATGGCTAAGGAAATGAACAGAGGGACTGGGCCAATAATGAGCACAGATGCTCTTAAATAGACCGAACTGGAGACACAGGCTGTCTTCACCAGTGGAACGTGTGTAAAGCCTGTGGAAAAAGCAACTCTTCAGCTAGTGAAGGCAGAATTTGCAAATGTCCCTCAGCACCATTCCTGGAACACTGAAATCTTCTAAAAACCATTATTAGCGGACTGACAGTTTCTGCCTTTCTTTATGAAAAAGGCAGAGAAATGCTCCAGAACACCGACCCTGACATGCTTCCCCTTGGTCTCCTATTATTTCTTTCTTTGCGCTGATATTTTATGTCATCTCTTGTATATAGCTAATTTTAGGGCAGTTTTCTCCACATTACCTTTTCTCAGAAGAAGCTCCTATCATTTGGGGACAGAAAGGAAGTGAAGAAAATGCATTAGGCAAAATGAAGGCTAGAATATTAAGAAAGAGTGGCATTATGATAAAACTCAGAAAAATTATTTTTCTGTTAAATCTTTAGAAGAAGAGGTATGATAAGGAAATATATATTTTGATTCTTAAACATCCAAGTCCTATTTTGGTTCACCTTGATCTACTTATGTCAATTACACATTTGTAATGAGGTTTACTTCTAACACACATATACGTTGAGCTCATACCTAATTTTCCTATCCCACTACACGCACACACACACACACGTACAATCACACCATGTTTGAAGAAATAAGATAAATGAGACCAGCATTTAAAGCTCGTTCAAAATCTATTTATACATATTTTTAACTGAAAATAAACACTCGTAGTTTAGATATACTTGCTTTGAGTACAATTAAAAGCAAAAGCAATGTAAGAAATGAGACACAGAGTTTTAAAGTAAGGAGACAATGTTTTGGTGTAGTTTTGCTTTATTGAATGGTAAAGGTTTTATCACTTTGAAAAACCATATATATGCTTTAAAAATTAAAACATATTGTGATTAATCAAATTCAAATAAAAGTCAATGAAAAATTTGCAGACTTAATCACTTAAACATCTTACAATACTTTCAAAATTAAGAACATTAAAGTAATGCATAATTATCTAGTCTTTTAACCAAAGAAAATTAGTTTATTAACATTAATTAAGTCTCCAACTGACACTAAAAGTAAATTAAGAATATTATTAAATTGATTTTGCAAGTGGATAAACTGAGACAGAGAAATATCAACTGAATTTCCCAGGGTTATATTCAAGTCAGTAGAAATTGGAACCTGTGGATTTTAATTGATTTTTGTATGGTTCTAATGATTATTAAAGTATGTCTTCTTCTAAGTATAACAGTTAATGACATTAGTTACATAAAAAATCTTTACAAGATCTCTCTTTTGAAAAATTATGTTTCTTCTGATTAACTCTTACAAAAGATTTAAGAAGAGCAAAAATTAATACATTTCTCATGCAAAGTAACAAAAATAGATATTTTAAAAATTATTTGCATACATAAAATAAAAATAGTTTGTGCTGCAAGAATAGAAAATACTGATTGGAGCCTGGGCACGGTGTCTCATGCCTGTAAACCTAGCACTTTGCGAGGTCGGGGCAGTTGGATTGCCTGAGCTCAGGAGTTTGAGATCGGCCTGGGTAACACGGTGAAACCCTGTCTCTACTAAAATACAAAAAATTAGCCAGGTGTGGTGGCAGCACCTGTAGTCTCAGCTACTCTGGAGGCTGAGGCAGGAGAATTGCTTGAACCGGGGAGGTGGAGGTTGCAATGAGCCGAGATCACGCCACTGCACTCCAGCCTGGGCAGCAGAGTGAGACTCCGTCTCCAGAAAAAAAAACAATACTGATTGGTATGAAAATAAGTGAAATTTAAAACAAATATCAGGAAAAAACAAGACCCATTTTTTATGATTTCTCCAACCTCCAAACATCATCTGTTCATGTTTTTCATCCTGGTTTTGAAAAGTTCACGTATGTTTTCTGGCCAATTGAGGATTTCTTTTCATCTAAGCTATGTGATATTATTGTGATACTATATTTATCCAGAATTTTGGGATCTGCATTAGCATAGTCTGCATATTGCAAGAAGTTCCTTAATTTTTCTGTATTTTTTTGCTTTGTGACATTGGAAAGGAGAAATAAGCTCTAGCCCTTTTTCTTTACATTCAGGAATAGAGGTTGATAATGCCTGTCTTAGACGGAAGTTGAGTCCATACTCTCAGAGCCTGTTAGGAGGAAGGTGAAAAGATGTGGGAACTGGCAAAGACTCTGAAACAGAAAAGGGGAGAAGAACAGGACCAGGGGACTAAGGGAACCAGGAAAGTGCTGATATTCCCTCAAGCCTAAGCCCATCAGACCATCCAGGCAAAATGCTTCTCTGAATGGACACGTAGCTATGTACTGGCTACCAATATTGCTTAGTAATCAACAGAGGGTATATGCCAAAGGAAGTTAAATATATCGGTTCATCTCTGATGTCCAAAATATTTAAACTTTCAAATTTGCATGGTTCAGTTCACAAATGCAGAAAATTTCAGGGTGAATTAGTCTTATGTATTTTCACAAAGTTTATCTTTAAACTTCAGAAAGCTTATCTTTAAACTTCTAAATACTGTTTAGCAGAATTGGAAATCTTTTGAATATTTAAATACTTTTACTTTGGCATATAGATCTATGACAAAAAAGATGCCATCCTTTTGATGGGTAACATTAATAATGCTGTTTCTGCAATATGTAAATCTATGCTATCTGTGAATTATGTCTCTCTTTGATGTACTTTCTCAAAACAAGATTATTTATCATAATAAATATTTTATTACACAAAACAAGAGGCATTTTTACAACGTCTACTTTTCTCATTCTGTTTAACCCTGTTTTATAATGTGATTGGCATATTAAAAACAGGAACTTAGCGTGATTTTGGCTCAAGGAAGAGACCAGGAACATGGCATAATTTTGCACACAGGTCAAGAGAGCACCTCGAGGCTAAAATATTTTTCTCCCCCCAGGGATGGGTATAGCATAATATACCACTGAATCTATCAAATTCAGTCTGCCAGGAAGTCAGATCATTAACAAATAAAACAAGAAAAGCCACTAAGACTTCATTTGCATTCTTCTGTTTGATCTCCCCGGAAACCAGAAGACAGCCTTTGTTCACTCTCTCACTTCAGATCAAGTCCCGTTGGGTACACATTTTGATAACACCCTGGACCTTACCTCGTGCTACTGAAGTGCAGTTCCAATGATATATTAGTGAGATTAATGTCTAACTGCACCACTAGATTAAAAGATCCATTAGGGCAGAGATGGTGTCTGTTTTGCCTTCAGATGTAACTCCAGCATCCAGCCCAGAGCCAGTCTCTTAGGAAGTATAGAGTAAATATATATTTTTTGATTGAACATGTAAACATAACTATATTAACATATTATATAATTACAGACTGGCTGTGCTATACCATGCAATAATTCTTGTAATGGAGAAAACTTCTTATGATCATTAGAACTGGCACAAATAAAGTATGAGTTTCAGGATAAAATCTTGTTGACTTTAATGGCAACTTACAGTTGATTTGAGATCCTGTCTGGGAAGCAATTTGGCAAGAGTAATGATTGTCAACTTTCACTTCCTGTTATGAATTAATTGGATTCTTTTTAGGCTGTGCCTTTATTTTCTTTCCTCTGCCTTCTAAATATGATTACTTGATTTTTTTCTAAAGGTAACTGTGCAATGAGTTCATGCAAATACCATTTTAAAATTACTACTTTTTGGTAAATAAATATAAAAACAAATTCAGGGAAAAAACTATTGTATATATTTTTTTGATTTACATATGAAACTTTTTTCTTTTAACATCCAAAACATAACTGGTGCTATTTACAATGCTGCATTTAACAATTCAACCTCTGCAAATAATTTTCTTTAAGAGATATTTGCAATTTCTTCTTGTCAACAAAACTGCGACATGTAATTGGCAGAAGTCCGCCTGAAGAAACATGGTTTAATTTAGCACATGACCTGAGAATATTTTCATCAGCATTTAGATATGAGCCTGGGATTTATTGTGGCTATTATCCCCTTATCACTGTCAATAAGTACCTATACAATTTCATTTCAAAATATTTTCAAATGAGTTTCAAAATCTGGTTACACTTAAAGAGAAATATGGGAGCTTTAATGAAATAAACTAACAGTGTCAGGTTATAATACACTGGACAGATGAAAATAACAGACACTGCAACTGATGGAAGTTGCATGGGAGGGTTTTTGGCCCAAGGATTAGTTAAGATGATTACCTAAGACGAGGAAGAAGTAGAAACAAGAAGAAGAAGAAGAAGAAAGAGTAGAAACAATAAAAAAAATTGAAAGCTGATACTTCAGTCTGTAATACAGGCTGGTTACTTACCTGAGATGAACAAACTTCACTCTCCTTTGGTTCTCAGAAATGTGTTATTCTATAAGTCAAGATGCAAAGGAGTTTAATTCACTTAAAATTAAATATTTAAAATTATTCATGCCTGTTACATGGAGGGGGTGCAATATATATTTCTCGAATGAAATTTTGTCATGCAGGAAGTAAAGTTACTCCTGGTTGCAATTTTTTTTCTATTTCTACCAACACCACTACATCACTTTTGCAGAGGTAGGGTCAAGCACCTTTATTTTGGGGTCTTTGCTGTAGTTAGACATTTCAAAGGCTGGGACTAATCAGCAGAAGGGGTCACTGCAGGCTGCCCTACTTGGCAGCTTTGTCACATAGCTTATCACCTTGAGAATTTGCTTGGCATATCTTGAAAAGAGCCATGGTTTACGGAAACTTAAAGTTTACCATAATTTCATTATTAAAGTTGGACAAGATGGAGTGTGGTGTTTGGGACCTGCATAAACTTGTTGCACAAATGAGGGATTACTATTTGGGTTCTTGTGGGGCTGGCTGAGCTGCTCCCAAATCTTTGGGTACAAAATAGCCTTGGTCTCAGAGATACAGCTCTCTTTAGGGTTGCTCTTAGGCCAAGAAAGGACAAGAGAGTTTGGAATGTGACAACCGTGGGTTACAGGGATATTCCTTAGGTAGGGGAAGTTTTATTTTTTTTTTTTTAATGTATGTGTTTTAGAAAGAGGCAATTTTATGATTTCTCTCTAAAAAAGAATGAAAGACTAAAGAACGATACCTAGGCTGGATGTGGTGGCTCATGCCTGTAATCCTAGCGCTTGTGGAGGCCGAGGCAGGTGGATCACCTGAGGTCAGGAGTTCGAGACCAGCCTGGCCAAACATGGTGAAACCCCATTGCTACTAAACATACAAAAATTAGCCAGGCATGGTAGCACATGCCTGTAATCCCAGCTACTCGGGAAGTTGAGGTCGGAGAATCGCTTGAACCCCAGAGTGGGGGAGGTGTGGGGGTGGGGGACGGACGTTGCAGTGAGCTGAGATCACGCCACTTCACTCCAGCCTGGGCGAAAGAGTGAAACTCCATCTCAAAAAACAAACAAACAAAAGAATGATGCCTATCTCACAAGGATGGCTGATGATAATGTCATATATTTTGGAAGTGCTTTGAAAAGTGTCCAAGGTACAAGATGTCCAGTTGAAATATTTATTATTATTAATAGCTAATATTTTAATGAACAACAGAGGTTTTTTTAAAATAGGTTTTAAAAGGAAAACATAGTTCTATTGTAATGTTTTATAAGTAGGAATGAAAATATAATTCCTGGATTAGGTCCTTTGATTTTGTAAACGATTAGAAAAATACTGAAAATTATATTATCCTGAAAAGTGATGTATATTATGCCAAAGAGAAATTACTGGGGAACAGAAGTTCCACATTGCATCCACAAGACCATTTTGTTATAGTCAAATAGCTGAACTTTAATTCATTTGCAGATCTTGAACTAGAGGTGTGTTTATTGTGCAATTAATCAAGACTGGAGGGTTTCTAGAAGTTCACCTGAAGTGTCTTAAATTTTATTAAGGCAAACATATATTGGATGGTCATGTGCTGGCAGTTTGTTAGTTGCAGAGGATTGAAAGATGAATATGACATTGTCTTTGTTTGAGAGCACTAATCTACCAAATAAAAAGCTCATACAAAGAGTAGATGGTGCCTGGTGAGTAATTACAATGTGTAAACCACATCTTTGGTTTTTTTTTTATAATAAATATTTAATTTTAAATTCTAAAAGAGGAATGAACCCTTCTATACAAAGACAATCTTTTTCCTTCTAGGGCAAAACATTCCTATATCCTGGAACTACAATAGATTTAAAAGAAGAAATGGGCAAGGGCCCTAGAAAAACCATGTCATGGGAGGGAGGGACACAGTAGGAAGTAGGGATGTGCAACTTACAAAAAAATATATATTTCAATAGTTTTTGGGAAACATGCAGATTTTGGTTACATGGAAAAGCTTTTGTTAGTGGTGATTTCTACAGTTTGTTTTTCCTTTAAGGGTCTGGTAGAATTCATTTGTGAATCCATTAGGTCGTGGACCTTTTTTGTTGGCATTTTAAAAAATACTATTTCAATCTTGCTAGTTGTTATTAGTCTGTTCAGAGTTTCTATTTCTTCTTGATTTCATCTAGGAGAGTTGTTTATTTCCAGGAATTTTTCCATCTCCTCTAGATTTTCTAATTGTGCATGTAAAAGTATTTATAGTGGCCTTGAATGATCATTTGTATTTCTGTGGTATCAGTTGTAAAAGCTCCCATTTTGTTTCTTATTGAGCTTATTTGTATCTTCTCCCTTCTTTTCTTGGTTAATCTTGCTAATGGTCTATCAATTTTGTTTATCTTTTCAAAGAATCATCTTTTTGTTTCATTTATCTTTTATATTATTTTTCTTTCAATTTCATTTAGTTCTGCTCTGATCTTTGTTATTTCTTTTCTTCTGCTGGGTTTGGGTTGGGTTTGTTCTTGTTTCTCTAGTTTCTTGAGGTGGGAGCTTAGGTTGTCTATTTGTGCTCTTTTAGATTTTTTGATGTAGGCATTTAATGCGATGTACTTTCCTCTTAACATCACTTTTGCTGTATCCCAGAGGTTTTGATTGGTTGTGTCACTATTATCATTCAGTTCAAAGAATTTTTAAATTTCCATCTTGATTTTATTGTTAACCCAAAGATCATTCAAGAGCAGGTTATTTAATTTTCATGTATTTCATGCATTTCATGTATTTCATGTATTTCCAACTGGAAATTGGAGTAAAGTTCCAGTTTTATTCCACTGTGGGCTGAGATGGTACTTGATGTGATTTTGAGTTTCTTGAATTTATTGAGGCTTGTTTTGTGGCTATGATATGGTCTATCTTGGAGAATGTTCCATGTGGGGATGAAAAAAATGTATATTCTGCAGATGTTGGGTAGAATGTTCTATAAATATGTGTTAAGTCCATTTGTTCTAGGGTACAGTTTAAGTCCATTGTTTCTTTGTCAACTTTCTGTCTTGATGACCTCTCTAGGGTTGTCAGTGGAGTACTGAAGTCCCCCACTATTATTGTGTTGCTGTCTATTGTATTTCTTAGGTCTAGTAGTCATTGTTTTATGAATTTGGGAGCTCCAGTGTTAGGTGCGTGTATATTTAGGATTGTGATATTTTCTTGTTAGACTAATTCTTTTATAATTATATAATATCCTTCTTTGTCTTTTTAAACTCTTGTTGCTTTAAAGTCTGTCTTGTCTGATATAAGAATAGCTACCCTTGCTCACTTTTGGTTTCCATTTGTGTGGAATATTTTTTTTCCACTCCTTTGCCTTACGTTTATGTGAGTCCTTATGTGTTAGGTAAATCTCTTGAAGACATCAGTTACTTGGTTGGCTAATTTTTACCCATTCTTCCAATCTGTATCTTTAACTGGGGCATTTAGACCATTTACATTCAATGTTAGTAATGAGAGGTGAGGTACTGTTCTATTCATCATGTTAGTTGTAGCCCAAATACTTTTTTTTTCATTGTGTTATTGTTATGTAGGCCCTGTGAGATTTATGCTTTAAGGATGTCCTATTTTTGGTATATTTCGAGGTTTTGCTTCAGAATTTAGAACTCTATTTAACATTTCATATAGTTCTGGTTTGGTAGTGGCAAATTCTCTCAGCATTTGTTTGTCTGAAAAAGACTTTATCTCTCCTTCATTTCTGAAGCTTAGTTTTGCTGGATACAAAATTCTTGGCTAACAATTATTTTGTTTAAGGAGGCTAAAGATAGGACCCAAATCCCTTCTGGCTTGTAAGGTTTCTGCTGAGAAATCAGCTGTTAATCTCATAGTTTTTCCTTTATAGGCTACCTGATGCTTTAATCCCAGAGGTCTTAAGATTTTTTTCCTTCATCTTGACTTTAGATAACTTGATGACTGTGTGCCTAGGTGATGATGTTTTTGTAATGAATATCCTGGGTGTTCTTTGAGCTTCTTGTATTTGGATGTCTGGATCTCTTAGCAAGGCCAGAGAACTTTTCCTCAATTATTCCTTCAAATAAGTTTTCCAAACTTTCAGATTTTTCTTCTGCCTTAGTAACACCAATTATTCTTAGGTTTGGCCATTTAACAATCTCAAATTTCTTGGAGGCTTTGTTCATATTTTTTAAAATTCTCTTTTGTCTTTGCCTGATAGGGATAATTTGAAAGCCTTATCTTTGAGCTCTGAAGTCCTTTCTTCTACTTGTTGCAGCCTATTGTTGAAATTCTCCACTACATTTTGTATTTCCCCACATGTGTCTTTCATTTCCAGAAGTTGTGCTTGTTTTTTCTTTATGATATCTATTTCTCTGGAAAATTTTTCATTCACATCCTAAATAGTTTTTTTTTTTTTAATTTCTCTATGTTGTTTTTCAACTTTCTCTGGTATCTTCTTGAGTATCTTAATAATCTACCTTCTGAATCCTTTATCTGGCAATTCAGAGATCTCTTCTTGGTTTGGATCCATTGTCAGGGAGCTAGTGTAATATTTGGGAGGTGTTATAGAACCCTGTTTTGTCATCTTATCAGAGTTACTTTTCTGTTTCCTTCTCATTTTGGTAGACTATTTCTTCAAATTTTTCTTGAATTTATATTTGATTGAACTGTATTTTTTTAATTTAAATTTCTCTTTTTCTTCTCTCTCTCTCTCTCTCTTTTTTTTTGAGATGGAGTGTCGCTCTTGTTGCCCAGGCTGGAGTGCAATGGTGCAATCTCAGCTCACCGCAACCTCCACCTTCCAGGTTCAAGTGATCCTCCTGCCTCAGCCTCTTGAGTAGCTGGGATTACAGGCATGCGCCATCATGCCTGGCTAATTTTGTATTTTTAGTAAAGACAGGGTTTTTCCATGTTGGTCAAGCTGGTCATGAACTCCCGACCTCAGGTGATCTGCCCCCTTAGCCTCCCAAAGTGCTGGGATTACAGGCATCAGCCACTGTGCCCGGCCTTCTTCTCTCTCTTAAGGATCAGACCATAGTGTTTATTTTAGCCTAATTTGGTTCTTGTGCTTGTAGGGGTGAAGACTTTGTATAAGTTCATTAGTTATAGAGAGTCTTTTTATGCTGTCTTTCTCTGATGCTGGTATATTCTTGGTTTGTCAGTGAGTTGCCTGTCTCTGACGGAGTTGAAATGGCAGGGATCTCTTGAAGCTTATCTTATTCTTTCATGGTGTATAGTTTATTTATTTAATTTTTTTCCCATTGTTTCATTTACTGAGTTGATGATTCAGGCTTAAAGCTAATAGGGGAGGTATCCCTGGGTAGGCACTGGTTTTAGCTAAGATGAGTGAGTAAGATGTAATACCCAAGAGTGGGCTGAGGTTCCAGCCTTGATGAGGGTGACTGGGGGAACTCTCAATTAGATGTGTTGAGGTTTTATCAGGGTGAAGAGTGGGAGCTACCTCCACTCTCCTGCCAGGTCAGCAGGAAAACTATTCACCTCACAGCCTCACTTCTGTCCTAATGTTTCAGCTATTCAGACAGGCACCTGTTTTTATCTCCAGGGAATGTTGATGTTCCAAGTAGGGAAGAATTGTGACTCTGCTTCTTATGTAGGCCTGAATCTTGGGGGTACTCCTCCTGGGGGCTGCACTCACCCTGGATTTTTCCAGAAAGGCTATCTATAGGTGCCTCCATGTTGCAGTCCTGTGAGGGAAGCCCCAGCTCTGTCTGCATTGGAGTGCCAAGGGGGAACAAAGACCCCTTCTGCAAGGTCTTTCATGATTAGAGGGTGTATGCTTGTTGGGGTAGAGGTGCAGACTTTCCCTACTGTGCCCAGCACTGCAATTGTGTCTCTGTTGTGAGAAACTACCCACCAGCAAAAAGATCTGGAACTTAAGGCCTACTGTTTGATTCTTTTATCCCGTGGGTGATCCCTTGATATTGTGTTCTCCCCTTTCCCATAGGGATGAGGTTTCCTGGGAGTTGGGTTGCAATGATTGTTATTTGCTCTTCTGGGTATAGCCACCCAGTGGGGTACCAGCCTCTGGGCTAGGGCTTGGGAATGTCTACAAAGTGTCCTGTGATGTGATCAGTCTTCAGGTCTCCCAGCCATGGATACCAGCACCTGCTCTGGTAGAGGTGGCAGGGGGGTGATGTAGACTCTGTGAGAATCCTTGGCTGTAGATAGGTTTAGTGTGCTGGCTTTCTTGAATGCTGGCTGTGCTAGCAGTGAAGCTGCTGTGTGGATACACTCAGGACCTCTGGTTAGCCAGGATGTTTCAGGCAGTGGAATTAGGTATTGTTTTCTCCTTCCTGGGATGAGGGTCATTCTGACATGAGTTGCTGTAATGACCTGAGTTTGTTGGCCTCCAGCCAGGAGGTGGCACTTATAATAGAACACCAGCTGCAGTGTTATAGAGGGATTTGAGTTAGAGAAATACCATCAGGTGGGGGCAGGGTTAGGTGTGTCTGAAGTCAAACTCTTCTTGGGCAGAGCTTGCCATGGCCACTGTGGAGGATGAAGGTGTGGTTCATACAGAAGAGAGTATGGCTGCCTCTGTTTAGCAGTATTGTTTGCCAGGGAAGTGCAAGATAGCCGGTAGCAAAAGGCCTCATCTACCTCCCACACAGTTGGCAAGGCCATCTTGCTCCTGCAGTGCCCTGCTAACAGGGAAACCTGTGTGCAAAACTCACACTTGCCCTAGGCCAGAAGCCTCCTCCTTGAGAAAGTAAGCATGGCTTTCAGGCCACAGCCCCTGCTCTTCTGTTCACAATGGCAGTAGCTCTTGTGCCTATATCTGCAGCTGTTCTTCTTTGCCCCCCAGATTCTGCTCAAGGAAGTTGATGCCCAGTAGAGAGTATCACAAAATTCAGCTGGCAGTTTCATTCACCCTGTGACCCCTCCCTAATTCTGCTGGCTGCCTTCCCCAAGGGGCCCTGTGAGATATAGTCAGGGATGACTTCCCTGGGCTCAAGCTGGAGACTGGGGGTGCCTAAAAGGCTATTCCCATTGCTGCTTCTCCTTTTATATTTTGCACAGCTCCCTAAATCCATTCCAGCTCTAGGTAGGGTTAAATCCTTCCCCCACCACCTGAGTTTTCAGATTCCCCAGTGGGGATGTGTGTTTGGAGGCAGGTTATTCCCCACTCACACTTTGGGAACTCACAGTTTTTCTTCTGTCTCACTGAGTTTGCAATGGCATGCCATTTCTTTCAAAGGATCTGTAAATTCTTTTGGTTTTCCTGGTAAATTCTTTTGGTTTTCCTGTAGTAGTTCTTGGAACAAAAGTTCACAGTGTGAATCTCCACACACTGTTCTGACCATGCAAGTAGGAGATTCATGTTAGCCCTGCCTACCATCTGCCTTCTTCCTGCAGCCTCTTGGGATGTGCAACTTTGAGATGTTTTTGTAGGCACCGCTGTCTTCAAACAATTTGAGGGCTGTCAGGAGAAGTGAATTAATCTTATTCAGTTGTTCAGAGGTCACAGTCGTGAGTTTAGTAGTAAACACCTGTATATCATGATGGGGTTTCCAAGTAATTCTTAGGAGTTTCCAACTCTGGTGCAGGCTTTCTCCTGTCCCAGGAATTCATGCAGAAGCTGACTACTCACATTTCAAGATAGATATAGATAGATAGATTGATATATAGGTAGATTTCCAAACCAGTAAGAAGTTATACTTGATAAGCTCTAAGATCCCTTCCTCTTCTAATAGTTTGTCATTCCAGACCTTTGGATTAGCATGGGAATTGTGTCTCATGAAGCTGAAGTGCCATTGAGGAGCCATCTGAGTATGAAAGAAGTTCATACATGGCAGTGAGTATTAATTTAGTTTTCACATCAACCCTATTTCCCTGGGTTTTTCACAAAATTAGATGAATCAAAGCAATTAAATAATAGTATAGTTTGTTAAATGAAGCCATTAAAACACTTATCACAGACCCAAAAGGTTAAAATTCATACCTGGTTTCTAATTTCAGAGAAAAGATTTCTTAGAAAATGGGGATGACTAGGTAGTAACACATTCTTTTATAAATGAAAATAAAATCACCATAGCAGCAAGCTCATAAACATCACAGGAGGTCCTAGGGAAGCTGTGATGAAATGAATTATTATAGCCTAGTGCACGATACCATAAGGAAACATAATGTTAAATAGTTTTAATCAATTAGAGATTTCAAGACATTTTAAAGGGGCCACAAATAGCATAATGTTTTTCAGCTATAAAATGAATTTTTGAATCTAGATAAGAAGTCAGAACACAAATATTTTGTACAAAATTAAAATTTCATACTTGTGGTTTTAAGAAGCCTCTAATAAAGGGGTGAGCTCAACAATATTATACTGTTAGTAAATGAAACTAATAGGACTGAAGGATGAGAGGAGTCCTAAATGAGGTACTTTTTCCTCATATACATTATAATCAGATTCTCACTCGTCTGTGTCATTGCCTGTGCCAGCCCATTGCACAGCGCTCAGTGGGGTCTCTGAAAGGGGAAGTTAATATTAAATAAAAACATTTGCTCTCTCTATACTTATGGCTTTCACTTAGTCTCTTGGGAACGTATAAATTCTTTCTAGATCTTGTAATAGGCTTATCCACCAGTCTATGCTCAGCCCACTTCAATTCTTTTAATCACTTGGCTTGGAGGTTCACTGACACAAAGGCAGATGATTCAGTGCCAAATGCACCTTCCTCTCAGCCCCCAACCAGATAATAAACAAAATTAGCTGTGTCTGGTAAGTGAGTCTATTTGAAAATGAAATAAATAGCTCTGTTACTTCCATGGCTTGTGTAAATTAAACACTCAATATGATGGGATGACCATCTCAGTTTGTTTTTGGTGACTCAGGAGTCACTCTGGGATTTTTGAGCTGGGGGGAACCATAAAGATCATACAGAACAGTGCTTCACAAACTTGACTGAGTTTCAGAGTTGCTGAAGGAGTTTTTAACACATTCATATTACCAGCCGGATATGGTGGCTCACGCCTGTAATCTCAGCACTTTGGGAGGCCAAGGCAGGCAGATCATCTGAGGTCAGGAGTTCGAGACCAGCCTGGCCAACATGGTGAAACCCCGTCTCTATTAAAAATACAAAAATTAGCTGGGCATAGTGGCAGGTGCCTATAATCCCAGCTACTCGGGAGGCTGAGACAGGAGAATTGCTTGAACCCGGGAGGCGGCGGAGTTTGCAGTGAGCCGAGATAGCACCACTGCACTCCAGCCTTGGCAACAAAGAGCAAAACTCCATCAAAAAAAAAAATCAATCATATTACCTTACTGAGCTCACCCCAGATCTAGCAAAGTTGAGTCTCTAGGCTTGGGTCTGGCAATTTCCCCTGGTGACTCTGATTTAGGGAACAGAGATCTGGCCTTACATTTTTATAGAGGTCTGGAAAAACTGGGGATTGTGTGTCATGAACAGATTTAGGGTTATTGAATTAAATGACTTGCCCAGGGCCTGGTTAATGACAGAGCTAGTCAGAACCCATACATCCCTGATTCCATTTTTCTTTTCTCACCACCACCCACTGATATGGCTAATATCATTAAAAAGCATGTAATTTGTATCCATTTGCAAGTAAAAACTGCTCAGAAGTACTTATATCAGAATATTGCATGCCCATCTGAGAATATCACACCACACACACACACACACACACACACACACACACACACAGCCCAGATCTTTGGGCTTCCTTACTGCCTTTGACATACCTTTCTTCAATTCTGTCTTTTGACATTTTAATCATCTTCCCAACAGAGTTTCCTGAACTTGGTCTTTTCTTTGGCTGTTTCACTGTCTTTCAGGGCTTCCGAAGTCTGTTTACTTGCTTTCATTCATTTTCTATCAAAACTGTTCCTCATGGGAGGGCTGGTTCTAACATTGATTCCTCACCTTTCATTTTGTTCCTTCTTCTAGTTGAATGAGACTGCCATTGTGTAGACTTTTGATAGCAAGGTTGTTTTGTCTATTTTTTTCCTTTACCTTTGGTGGACATGTGAACTGTCACATTTACTGTGGAAGTGGACATAACTGTGGTCATCCTGTGACCTATGCATGTTCTTAACTGCTCTTGCTGAGTCAGTGGGTGAGAGCTCTGTGGTGGGGGAAGGAAGCCTAGTGGGGCCAGGTGATTGTAAATGTTGACAATTAATTGGGATGCAGCAGAGAGGTATTTGAGGAAGAACAGCTAAATGGTGGTAGTCTGTATTTGAAATGAAGGCTTATTGACTCTGCAAGTACATACTTGCCAGTCACTGTATTTACAGCGAATTCTAACAGCATGTCTATTGCTGGTACTGCCCAGTGATAAAAGATTCTATTTTCAAAAAACAGTTGTAGGTACTCTATTTTCAACCTTAGTAATGTGACAATTTTATGGTACCTTAAAGATAACTTTCTTTTAGGCTTTGAAAGTAGATTAACAACTGAGGGATGAAATACTTGCATTAAAATAATGAATAAAGAGACATGGAAGTCATTTAATAATAAAAAGCTTATACATGATTTTACATTCATAGCGTATTGCCAGTTCCAATCTCTTAGGTATAAAAGATTCCTATGTCTGCTTCTTATCTCTGTTCCATTTGGTTAATTATAACTTCCCTTTGAGTTCATTCATTCATTTATTTAATCATTCAGTAAGTACTTATTAAGCAGAAAGTATCAGGTGCCATGTTAGGTTGCAATCCTCAAGGGGCTCCTGGTCTAGTGGGAGGACTGTCACGTGGACAGGCTGTGATAAAAGGGTTTAACCATCCCTATTGAAGGACATCTGGACTGTTTCTAGTGTTTGGCTTTTAATGAATAAACCAGGCCAGCAGCCTGGTTTGTAGCCTTGTGCACTTTTTGTTAAGCTCATGTAACTGTGTATTTTGGTCTTTTATTTTTTAAAAAATTATTATTTTTTAATGGGAATCACACAGACTGCCTTCTTTCCCTCTCATTCTTCTTGAGGAAGAGAACAATTGTCAATGGTAAACGGCAGTTGCAGCCAAGCAACACCAAGGGTTGGCTTCACACTCTGGAGAGAGCACACTGCATTTCCTTCTAGTGGTTTCTGGTGCTCTACATATTCAGAGAAACCTCTAGTAACGAACTGAAGAAAGGATCCCTGAAAGTGTAGTCTTGGTCTTTGATTTTTAATAAATGAGTTGCTGTCATACACTAGCTTTCTTAGCATTAATGTGTGGAAACTCCTCTAGATCAAGAGTAAGGCGTACTTCACTCTTTTTGATGAACTACATATTAATCCTTGGCGTGGATAGGACTTAATTTACTCAACCTTTCCCCTAATTTGGGTATTTAATTTGTTTCTAGTTGTTTTGCCATCGTGAACAATTCTCAACACCATATCCTCATATCCATACTCTCATGCCTCTGTGCTCATGCCACTTAGATCTTCTTTGAGATACCCTGCTGCAGCGAGCATAGTTAATTGACAGTCTCTAGCTCTTTGCTCTTTTGGTTCATCACTATGACATTCGTTAACAAGGCAATTTGTTACAAGGATTTGTAATCCCCAGCCAATGACTGAGTGTGTCTCATTCTTTTGCAATGCAGGACTCTTCTAATGAGCAGTCTGCTTGGGGACTCCTTATCAGCACAGCTGAAATGTTCTCAGAGTTGTGCTGCAGTCTCAGGCTCTTCTTACGCAATCCTTCCTTCCCTTTCTCCTTTCACAGGTATCAGATCTGCATCACAGTCCATAGAGTTTCCACTTACTCCTGCTTCCTCTGTCATCATTCTTCACAGGCACTTTCTCTAATAAATCTTTTGCATGTTAATCTTGATGTGGCATACTAGCACACTGACCTGAACTAGCACACTGAGCTTTTATTTCCATGCATATTTTTGATTTTAACAGATGTTTCCAGATTGCTTTCCAAAAAGGCAGTACAAATTTACATTATCATCAGCAGTGTACAAAGATACCCTTTTCTCTGACTCCCCATCAGTGATTGGTAAGATAAACTTTTGAATTTTTGCCGGTCTGATAGGCTTAAAGTGAATCACGCTATCAGTGTATTTTGGAATCTTTTCTTTATTCTTTTTGCCTTTAAGGTATTATTTTCTGTGAATTGTCTATTTGCATTTTGGATCTTTTTTTTTTTTTCATTTGTGTTGCCCCAAATCTATTTTTTTTTATTATACTTTAAGTTTTAGGGTACATGTGCACATTGTGCAGGTTAGTTACATATGTATACATGTGCCATGCTGGTGCGCTGCACCCACTAACTTGTCATCTAGCATTACGTATATCTCCCAATGCTATCCCTCCCCCCTCCCCCCATCCCACCACAGTCCCCAGAGTGTGATATTCCCCTTCCTGTATCCATGTGATCTCATTGTTCAATTCCCACCTATGAGTGAGAATATGCAGTGTTTGGTTTTTTGTTCTTGCGATAGTTTACTGAGAATGATGCTTTCCAATTTCATCCATGTCCCTACAAAGGACATGAGCTCATCATTTTTTATGGCTGCATAGTATTCCATGGTGTATATGTGCCACATTTTCTTAATCCAGTCTATCATTGTTGGACATTTGGGTTGGTTCCAAGTCTTTGCTATTGTGAATAATGCCGCAATAAACATACGTGTGCATGTGTCTTTATAGCAGCATGATTTATAGTCATTTGGGTATATACCCAGTAATGGGATGGCTGGGTCAAATGGTATTTCTAGTTCTAGATCCCTGAGGAATCGCCACACTGACTTCCACAATGGTTGAACTAGTTTACAGTCCCACCAACAGTGTAAAAGTGTTCCTATTTCTCCACATCCTCTCCAGCACCTGTTGTTTCCTGACTTTTTAATGATTGCCATTCTAACTGATGTGAGATGATATCTCATAGTGGTTTTGATTTGCATTTCTCTGATGGCCAGTGATGATGAGCATTTTTTCATGTATTTTTTGGCTGCATAAATGTCTTCTTTTGAGAAGTGTCTGTTCATGTCCTTTACCCACTTTTTGATGGGGTTGTATTTACAGATTCAATGCCATCCCCATCAAGCTACCAATGACTTTCTTCACAGAATTGGAAAAAACTACTTTAAAGTTCATAGGGAACCAAAAAAGAGCCCGCATCGCCAAGTCAATCCTAAGCCAAAAGAACAAAGCTGGAGGCATCACACTACCTGACTTCAAACTATACTACAAGGCTACAGTAACCAAAACAGCATGGTACTGGTACCAAAACAGACATATAGATCAATGGAACAGAACAGAGCCCTCAGAAATAACGCCGCATACCTACAACTATCTGATCTTTGACAAACCTGAGAAAAACAAGCAATGGGGAAAGGATTCCCTATTTAATAAATGGTGCTGGGAAAACTGGCTAGCCATATGTAGAAAGCTGAAACTGGATCCCTTCCTTACACCTTATACAAAAATCAATTCAAGATGGATTAAAGATTTAAACGTTAGACCTAAAACCATAAAAACCCTAGAAGAAAACCTAGGCATTACCATTCAGGACATAGGCGTGGGCAAGGACTTCATGTTCAAAACACCAAAAGCAATGGCAACAAAAGCCAGAATTGACAAATGGGATCTAATTAAACTAAAGAGCTTCTGCACAGCAAAAGAAACTACCATCAGAGTGAGCAGGCAACCTACAACATGGGAGAAAATTTTCGCAACCTACTCATCTGACAAAGGGCTAATATCCAGAATTTACAATGAACTCAAACAAATTTACATGGATCATTTTATTCTTATCAACTTTTTTTTTTTTTTTTTTGAGATGGAGTCTCCCTCTGACATCCAGGCTGGAGTGCAGTGGCGCAATCTTGGCTCACTGCAACCTCCGCCTCCCAGGTTCAAGCGATTCTCCTGCCTCAGCCTCCCTAGTAGCTGGGACTACAGGCACGTGCTACCACGCCTGGCTAATTTTTTTGTGTTTTTAATAGAGATGGGGTTTCACTGTGTTAGTCAGGATGGTCTTAATCTCTTGACCTCATGATCCACCCACCTCGGCCTCCTAAAGTGCTGGGATTACAGGCATGAGCCACCGCACCCGGTCCTCTTATCAACTTTTAATCCCCGTTTAGGTATTATATATGAAGAAGAACATTAAATTAGAAGTTTTGACTAGGGCACTAAGTTAACACAGCTATGACACACCTCGTATGAATGGCCAGAGCAAGAAGCAAATTTTCAAAAGAACATTAAAAAGTTAGTTTTGCAACCCATAGTTCTCTCAATTAAGCTGAGACTATAAAGGCTATTGGAGGAGAAAATGTTTTAGAAAGAGCTATGAGATCTTCTCTTCACCTTCGGTCGAAAAAGGTCTTAAGCGGGCTTACCTGAAGAACATGTGTCATTTGTGGTTAGAGAAATGTACTAGTATGTAACTCATGTGTGAAAAATTATAAGGCAGAGACTGGTTGGATGCCCTGACAGAAATAGAGAAAAAGAGAGAGAGAATGTTTGTTTGCCTTAGGCAGTCTGCAGTCCCAGAGCTGTCAAAACAAGAAATATGTGAGTGTTTCTAATGGACCTGGTAAGGGTCCCAAAGGGAGAGTCAGCTGGCCCAGAGCTGTTTTAAATCCTTGCTGGAGGTGTTGCAGGTCTTCCTGGACACCAGAATACAGTCTGAAATGAATGGGCCACAAGAAAACTAGATCTGATGGTGCAACTGGAGGAAAATGCATCCCTCATGTTCAAGAATATACTGTAAAATATTCTTTGTAGGTGCCTCTAAAGGACTTGTGAAATACCCAATATTTTCCACACTTAACTTTTGTATATTGATTTTTAAATTAATTTTAAAATTTTGAGAAATTATAAATTTACTTACAGTTACAAGAAATAATAGAGATTTCTTATACACATTTAGTTTCCCCTAATGCTAACATCTTGTAAAACTATAGTACAATATCAGAACCAGCGTAGTGACATAGATGCAATCAAGGTGCAGAATATTTCCTTTACCATGAGGATTCCTCGTGTAGCCCTTTATAGCCACACCCACTTCCCTCCTGCCCACCACTCCCTTCTTAACTCCTAGCAACCATTAATTTTCTCTCCATTTCTGTAATTGTGTCATTTCAAGAATGTCATGTAAATGGAATCAAATAGCATGTAATCTTTTGAAATTGGCTTTTTTTTTTTCTCAGCATAATTCTCTGAACATTTATCTAGGTGGTCATGTTTATCAATGATCATTACTTTTTATTGCTTTGTAGTGTCCATATGGGCATACCACAGTTTGTTTAACCATCCCTATTGAAGGACATCTGGACTGTTTGTAGTGTTTGGCTTTTAATGAATAAAGCTGCTATAAAGTTTGATGCACAGGTTTTTATGTTAACAGGTTTTCATTTCTTTGTGATAAAGGCCCAGGAGTGCCACTGCTGGGTCATATGGTCATATAACTATATGTTTAGTTTTTTTTTTTTTAAGGAACTGTTTTCTAGAATGGCTGTACTATACATCTCCACCAGCAATATAGAAATGATATAATTTCTCTGCATCCTTACCAGCATTTGGTGTTACCACCATTTTTTGTTTGGTTATTTCGATAGGTATATAGTGATATCTGATGGTGGTTTTCTCTAATGATAACCTTATTAGGTTTTCCCCAAGTAGGTTTTTCCTAATGACCAACCACATGAACAACTTTTCATGTATTTATTTCCCATTTCTACCACCTTTTTGTGGAAATGTCTCTTTATGTCTTTTGCCCATACTCAAATTGGATTTTAATTTTACTTTTGAGTTTGAGAGTTTTAATATATGCTAAATATTAGTCCTTGGTCAGATATATAGTTTGCAAATGCTTTCTATTGCTCTGAACTTGTTTTGTTCTCTTTAACAGCTCTTTCACAGACCAAAAATTTTTAATTTTGATGAATTTTATCAATTTTTCTTTTATAGATTGTGCTTTTGGTGTCAAATCTAACAACTCCTTGCCTAGCCCTAAATCCAGGAGATTTTCTCCTATTTTTTTTTTTTTGAGATGGAGTCTCACTCTGTTGCCCAGGCTGGAGTGCAGTGTCACGATCTCAGTTTGCTACAACCTTCTCCTCCTGGGTTCAAGCAATTCTTCTGCCTCAGCTTCCTGAGTAGTTGGGACTACAGGCATGCGCCACCATGCCCGGCTAATTTTTTTGTATTTTTTGTGGTGCAGGGTGAGCCACTGTGCCTGGCCTCTGTTTTCTTTTCTAAAAGGGTTAAAGTTTTATGTTTTACGTATAAATCCATGATCCATTTTGAGTTAATTTTCATATAAGATGTGAGAATTAGGTTGAGGTTTTTTGTTTGTTTGTTTTTCTTTTTTTCCAGTGAATATCCAATTGCTCCAGCACTCTTTGTTGAAAAAGGCTACCTTTTTTCTCTTGAATTGCTGTGGCACCTTTGTCAAAAATCAGTGGGACATATTTGTGTGGATTTATTCCTGGGTTCTTGATTATATTTCATTGATCTATGTGTCTATCCCTTTGCAAATACAACACAGTCTTGATAGCTGTGGCTATACAGTAAATCAGGTAGACTGATTCTTCCCACTTTATTCTTTCTTCTCAAAATTTAAAACACTATTCTAGTTCTTTTGCTTTTCTATATAAATTTTAGAACAATCTTATCTATATCTAGAGAAGATCTTGCTGGGACTTCAGTTGGAGTAATGTTAAACGCATATAAATTTGAGGAGAATTGACCTATTTACTAAGTCTTTCAATTTATAAACGTGGTGTATCTATTTATATAGATTGCTAAAGATTTCTTTCATCAGCATTGTGTACATCAGCATTTCAGCTTACATTTCCTGGGCATGTTGTGTTAGATTTATACCAAAGTATTTCAGTTTTTTGAGTGATCATAAATGGTATTCTATTTAAATTTTGCTTTCCATTGTTTCATTGCTAGTGTATAGAAATACAATTAATTTTCATAAGTTTATCTTGTATCATGTAATCTTGCTGAATTCATTTATAAGTTCTAAGAGTTTTAAATCTTTTCTTCAGATTTTCTACGTAGAGAATCATGTCATTTGAAAACAGGGACAATTTTATTCTGTTCTTTCTGATATGTATGACTTTTATTTCACTGTTTTGCCCTATTGCACTGGCTAGAACTTACAGCACTATGTTGAAAAAAGTGTTGAGAGTAGAATCCTTGCTTTGATCCTAACCTTACAGAGAAGGCATTCAGTCTGTTACCACTTAGAATAATGTTAGCTTTTTATCAAGTTGAGAAAGATCCTTTCTTTTTCTCTGGAAATGGTAAACATCTGAGTAAATGCAAAAGAGCTTTTGCATTTCTGCTTTTTGCTTCTTAACTACTTTATAAATTATATAACTTTTTAAAGTAAAAATTAGAATACTGACTTTTGGGGTTTACAATATATGTAGGTGTATTTCATTTAGTAACTTAATATCATGACTGGAAAAATGTTAAATTGATCTATATGATTGCAAGATTTCTATAATTTATAAGAAGTAATAAAATATTAACTGTAAGTGAAATGTGAAAAGTTAATAAAATATAATAAAATGGCAGACCAAACCTAAACATATCAATAATTATGCTAAATGTTAATTGACTAATCACATCAATTAAGACAGAGATTTTTGGAACAGATAAAAAAAGATACAATTATATGGTATCTATAATGGGTATATTTAAATGTAAAGACACAGGCTGAAAGTAAATGGATGGAAAAAGACTTACCACGAAAACAGTAAGCATTAGAAGGTTAGCGTGACTACATTAATATCAGATAAATCTCTGGATTTCAAGAAAGAGTATTACTAAAGATAAAGAAGGACATTTTCATATAATTAAAAGGTTAATGAATTAGGAAGACATAACAATTTTAAATGTGTATAAGCTTACTAACACAGCTTCAAAGTGTATAAAGCCAAAATGTACAGAATTAAAAGAGAAACAGATAAATCTACATCATGATTTAAGATCTCTTTCTCTCCACAGATAATAGAATCACTAGACAAAAAAAAATTACTAAGATCATAGAGAACATGAAAAATATTATCTACCACAACTGAACACTTTTCATATAACACTATATCTAATAATGGAGGAATACACATTATTTTCAAGAGTATATTTTATATGATTTCATTTATATAATATTGTTGAAATGACAAAATTACAGAAATGAAAAACAGATTAGTGGATGTCAAGGAATTAAGGAGGAAGTGTGGGCAAGTGGGTGTGCTATAAAAGATCAACATGAGGGATTCTTGTGGTGAAGGAAATACTCTGCATCTTGACAGTATCAATGTCAATATTCTGGTTGTGATTTTGTACCATAGTTTTATAAGATATTAGCATTGGGGGAAACTAGGTAAAGCGTGTGGGTGATTTCTCTATCTTTTCTTTCAACTGCATGTTAATCTACAATTATTTCAAAATGAGAAGCTTAATTAAAAATCAATACACTCACACTAGTAATCCTAGCTTCTCAGGAGGCTGAGATGGGAGGAGCACTTGAGCCCAGGAGTTCGAGGCTGCAGTGAGCTATGATTGTGCCACTGCACTCTATCCTTGGGGACAGAGTGAGACCCCATCTCTTAAAAAAATTATCAAGGAGGAGGAGCAAGATGGCCAAATATAACCCTCCAGCAATCATCCCCCACTACAGGAACACCAAACCGAATAGCTACCCACACAAGAAAGCACCTTCATAAGTACCAAAAATCAGGTGAGCGATCACAGTACCTGCTTTTAACATCATGTCAAGGAAAGGGGCACTAAAGAGGGTAGGAAAGACAGTCTTGAATTGCCTATGCCACCCCTCTTTCACTCCCTGGCAGCACAGCATGGCATGGAGAGAGAATCTGTGCATTTTCGGGGAGGGAGAGCAAAGTGATTGTGAGGCTTTGCATTAGAAGTCAGTATTATCCTATTATAGCAGAAAGCAACACAGGGCAGAATTTGGCTGGCACTCATGCAGGGAGCATTTAAACTAGCCATAGCCAGAAAAGAATCATCGATCCCAGTGGTCAAAACCTGATTTCTGGTTAGCCCCATTGCCATGGACTAAAAGCACTCTGGGGTCCTAACAAACTTGAAATCAGTCTAGACCATAAGGACTGGGCAAGTCCTGGTGCTGTGCTGGGTTCAGAGCCAGTGGACTTGGAGTGCACATCACCCAGTGAGACACCATCTGGGGTGACCAAGGGAGTGCTTGTGTTACCCCTCCCCCAGCTCCAGAGAGTGCAGCTCACAGCTCCGGGAAGAAAGGGAAGAGTAAGGATGACTTTGTCTTCCAACTTGGATACTAGCTCAGCCACAGTAAAATCAAGCACTAAGCAGAGTCCTGAAGCCCCCATTCCAGGCCATACCTCTCAGACAATATATCTATACCCACCGTGGGCCAGAAGGGAACCCACTGCCCTGAAGGAAAGAAACTAGTCCTAGCAGAATTCACCATCTGCTGACTAAAGAGCCTTTGGGCCTTGAATAAACATCAGTGGTAGCTAGAGGGCAGTCACCAAGGGCCTTAGGCAAGATCTAGTATTGTACTGGCTTCAGGCATGACCCAGCAAATTCCCAGCTGTGGCGGCCGCAGCCTTCATGACAAAAATCCCCAAAAAACCGGGTATAGAAGGAATGTACCTCAACATAATAAAAGCCACATATGATAGATCCACAGCTAGTATCATACTGAATGGGGAAAAACTGAAAGCATTTCCTCTAAGATCTGGAACAAGACAAGGATGCCCACTTTCACCACTGTTATTCAACATAGTATTGATGGTCCTAGCTAGAGCAATCAGAGAAGAGAAAGAAATAAAGGGCATCCAAACTGTAAAGTAAGAATTCAAATTATCCTTGTTTTCAGATGATATGATCTCATATTTGGAAAAACCTAAATATCCCACCAAAAAACTATTATAACTTATAAATATATTCAGTAAAGTTGCAGGATACAGAATCTACATATAAAAATCAATAACATTGCTATATGCAACAGTGAACAATCTGAAAAAGAAATCAAGAAAATAATCCCACTTACAATAGCTATGAATAAAATACCTAAGAATAAACTTAACCAAAGAAGTGAAAGATCTCTACAATGGAAACTAGAAAACTTCGATGAAAGAAATTGATGAGAAGACATAAAAATGGAAAGATATTTCATGTTCATGGACTGGAGGAATCACTATTGTTAAGATGTCCATATCACCCAAAGCAAACTACAAATTCAGTGATCTCTACCAAAATACCAATGATCTTCTTCACAGAAATAGAGAAAATAATCCCAAAATTAATATGAAACTACAGATGACCCAGAATAGCCAAAGCCATCCTAAGCAAAAAGAATGAAACTAGAGGAATCACATTACCTGGCTTCAAATTATATTATGAAGGTATAGTAATCAAAACAGCATGGTACTGGCATAAAAAAAAGACACATAGACCAATGGAACAGAATAGAGAACCCATAAACAAATTCATACATCTACAGGGAACTCATTTTCAACAAAGGTTCCAAGAACATACAATGGGGAAAAGACAATCTCTTCTATAAATGCTGCTGAGAAAACTGGATATCCATACAGAATAATGAAACTAGACTCCTATCTCTTGCCATATACAAAAAGAAAATTTAGGTTAAATCTAAAACCTTAAACCACAAAACTACTAAAAGAAAGCATTGGGGAGACTCTCCAGGATATTGGTCTGGGCAAAAATTTCTTGAGTAATACCCCCAAAACACAGGCAACCAAAACAAAAATGGGTAAATGGGATCACATAAAGTTAATAAGCTTCTGCACAGCAAGGGAAACAATCAACAAAGTGAAGTGACTACCCACAGAATAGAAGAAAGTATTTGTGAACTACTCATCTGACAATGGATTAATAACCAGAATATATAAGGAGTTCAAACAACTTAACAGAAAAAAATCTAATCATCCAATTAAAAATGTGCAAAAGATCTGATTAGACATTTTTTGAAGGAAGATGTACAAATGACAAACAGGTATATGAAAAGGTGCCCAACATCACTGATCATCAGAGAAATGCAAATCAAAACTGCAATGAGCTATCATGTCACCCCATTTAAAATGGCTTTTATCCACAGACAGACAATAATGAATGAATGCTGGCAGGGATATGGAGAAAGGGGAACCCTCATACACTGTTGGTGGAAATGTAAATTTTATAGCAACTGTGGAGAACAGTTTGGAGGTTTCTCAAAAAACTAAAAATAGAACTACCATATGATCCAATGCTCCCACTGTTAGGTTTATACCCCAAAGAAAGGACATCAGTATATTTAAGAGATACCTGCACTGCCATGTTTATTGCAGCACTATTCACAATAGCCAAGATTTGGAAGCAACCTAAGTATCCATCAACAGATGAATGGATAAAGAAAACGTGGTACATATATACAATGCAGTACTATTCAGCCATAAAAAAGAATGTGATGCTGTTATTTGCCACAACATGGATGCGACTGGAGTTCATTATGTTGAATGAAATAAGCCAGGCATAGAAAGACAAACTTCACATGCTCTTACTTATTTGTGGGAGCTAAAAATTAAAACAATTGAGCTCATGGAGATAAAGAATAGAAGGATAGTTACCAGAGGCTGAGAAGTGTAGTGTGGGTGGGGGTACTTGGATGGTTCATGGGCACTAAAATATAGTTAGATACAATAAATAAGATCTAGCATTTGATAGGACAACAAGGTGACTACCATTAGCAATAATTTGTTGTACATTTGAGAATAACTGAGGGAGTACAATTAGAATGTTTATAACACAAAGAAATGATAAATGCTTTAGATAATGGATGCCCCATTTACCCTGATGTGATTATTACATATTGTGTGCATGTCTGTATCAAAATGTCTCATGCATCCCATAAATATGTATACCTATTATGTACCCATAAAAATTAAAAATTAAAAAAATTATAAAATAAACATAAAATAGGGAGATTATTCTGAATTATCTGAATGACCCAATTTAAGTATGTGCTCCTTAAAAGCAGAGAACTCTACCTGGCTGGAAGCAGAAGAGAGACTTCCTCAGAAGCGGGAGTCAGAGAGATCAAAGAGTGTGCAGGACTTGTTCTACCATTGCTAAGTTTGAAAGGGTTTATGTGGGAAGACATGTGCATAGCCTTTAGAAGCTGAGAGCCACTCCCAGCTGATGACAAGCAAGGAAATAAGAACTTCAGTTCTTCAATTGCTTGGAACTGAATTCTGCCAACTTAAATTATCCTAGAAACAGAGCCTTCCCAAGAGCATCCTGAGGAAACACAGCTCTGCTGACAACTTAATTTAATCTTGTGAGATTCTGAGGAGAAAACACAGGTGAGCTTGGTACCTGGACTCCAATCACAGAAACTATGAGATAATAAATGGGTGTTTTTAAGCTTCTAATTTTGTGGAAATTGCCATATACAATCTGTATTCTCATGGAGGGAATTTATCACATTTTTCCAACATTATGTGATAATTTGGGACTTTATTTTTGGATTTTATATTCCAGTATTAAATGTATGCCAAAGAATGGGGAAATAAATCAATATACAAAGAGCATATGCTGACCATTAAAACAAGCCTCAACACATTTTAAAAAACGGATAGCCATTTTCACAGCCTTAGCCATTGTTTTGTTTGGGCTCTAAAAATTCCAAGGCAACCAGGGACTGAAGCAGTCACCCGGTACAGCCCAGCAGCTCTACAGAGAAGAGATCAGACTGCTTATTCACATGGATCCTAAATCCTGTTTCTCTTCACTGGGCAGAATCTCTGATAGGGGTCTCTAGTCACTCCTGCCAGTGTTTTCTGGCCAACAAGGGTTTTCAAACCTCCCTGGGATGAAGCTCCCAGAGGGAGAGATGGGTCACCATCTTTGCTGTTTAGCAGCCTTCACTGTTGATACCTTTAGGTACTGGAAAATCCAATGTGACTGGGGACTGGAGTGGACCCCCAGTATACTGCAGCAGCCCTATGAAAAAGTGGCCAGACTCTCTTATGTGGGTCCCTGATCCTGTATCTCCTCACTGGGTGGGTCCTCCAGGCCTGGGTCTCTAGCCACCTGCCATTGGGGCTATTGAGCCAGTAGCAACTCTACAACTCCCTGGGACAGAGCTCCCAGTGGAAGGGATGGGTTTCCAACTTTGCTGTCTCACAACCCTTGTCCTTGCTGTCTCCAGGCTCTAGAGAGTCTGTGGACAATGGGGACTGGTCCGGATCCCCAGCACAGAGCAACCACCTCACAGAAAAGTGGCCAGACTCTTCTCTATGCAGATCTCAGTCCTCACTTCTCCTCACTAGGCAGGCCCACCCTACCTGGGACTCCAGCACAACCCCCGTGCCCCTGCCTGATCACCACAGTCAGAGGCAGCCCAGCATTTCTCCAAGGAGGAAATCTCAGAGTCAACCCACAACCCCGCTGTCATTACAGTTGCAGTGGTATTGCCCTAACAGCCCTTGGGCTGGGGAAGGAACAAAGGGCTGAGTCATTACACTGGCATCTCTAGCACACCATATCCCCATATGGAGAGGAGTCCAGCCCCCCTTTCCTGGGAACCCCCAACACTCCCCCCAACTCTTCACTAGGCAGGGTTCCTGGCTCGTAACCACAGAACAGTCACCCCACCCACAGCTAAGAATACCCACTTGTAATGGCTTGGAGTTTCCCTGGGAGGAAGCTTTCAGAGGAATCCAACAGCCCCTCTGCCATGGCCACAGCAGCAGTTCTGTCCTTGCTGCCCTCAGTCTGGGGAAGAAACAAAGAGTCTGAAGACTACACCTGAGGTTACAGCACACCACAGTCACGATATGGAGAGGAGATAAGTCTTTCCTCCTGGTGAGCCCTTGACCCCCTGCTCCTCAACAAGTGGAGTCCCAAGCTCATGCCAGCAGTGCAGCCATGCCACCCCACTGGCTGAGCACTTTCAGTAACAGCAACTTTGGGTTTCTCAAAGGTGGAGCCCCAGGGGCAACAGAAAGCCTCCCTGCCACTGCCTCTGCAGTGGTACTACACCTGCTACCCTCAGACTAACAAAGTAACAAAGAACCTCAATGTCTTACCAATATCTCCAACAAGCTGAAGTTAACCTAAAAAGATGCCAGTCTGTCTCTCATGGGTCTCAGCCACCCCCCTTGCTTGTCACTAGGCAGAGAACCCCAGCTTGGTCCCATAGCTCAGATTCCCCATCCCAGGCTGATTGCACTGAGAAATTGCTGACCTGCATCTCTCTGGAGTAGAGCCCACATAAAAGGCACAGAGTGGCAAGCAGGATAAAAAAGCAAGACTGAATGGTATGCTGTCTTCAAGAGACCCATTTCATAGGTAATGATACCCACAGGCTCAGAATAAAGGGATGGAGAAAAATCTACTAAGCAAATGGAAATTAAAAAAAGCAGGAGTTGCAACCCTAATTTCAGACAAAACAGACTTTAAACTAACAAAGATACAAAAAGACAAAGAAGGGTATTACATAATGGTAAAGGATTCAATTCAGCAAGAAGAATTAACTATTCTAAATATATATGCACCCAACACAGAAGCACCCAGATTCATAAAGCAAGTTCTTAGAGGCCTACAAAGAGATGTACACTCCCACACAGTAATAGTGGGAGACTTCAACACTCCACTTGACAGTATTAGACAGATCACTGAGGCAGAAAATTAACAAAGATATTCAGGACCTGAACTCAACATTGGACCAAATGGATCTGATAGACCTCTACAGAACTCTCCACACTAAAACAAGAGAATATACATTCTTCTCATCGCCACATGGTGCATACCCTAAAATCGACCACATAATTGGACATGAAACAATTCTCAGCAAATGCAAAATAACCAAAATCATACCAAACACATTCTTAGACCACAGTGCAATAAAAATAAAAGTCAAGATGAAGAAAATCACTAAAAATCATGAAATTACATGGAAAATAAACAACATGTTCCTGGGTGACTTTTGGGTAAATAATTAAATTAAGGCAGAAATTAAGAAGTTCTTTGAAACTAACGAGGACAAAGATACAATATCTCTGGGACACAGCTAAGATAGTGTTAAGAGGGAAACAAAGATAAGAAAATCTCTGGGACACAGCTAAGGAAGTGTTAAGAGGGAATTTCGTAGCATTAAATGCCTTCATCAAGACACCTCACACGGCAGGGTATTCCAACAGACGTGCAGCTGAGGGTCCTGTCTGTTAGAAGGAAAACTAACAAACAGAAAGGACATCCACACCAAAAACCCATCTGTACATCACCATCATCAAAGACCAAAAGTAGATAAAACCACAAAGATGGGGAAAAAACAGAACAGAAAAACTGGAAACTCTAAAAAGCAGAGTGCCTCTCCTCCTCCAAAGGAACGCAGTTCCTCACCAGCAACGGAACAAAGCTGGATGGAGAATGACTTTGACGAGCTGAGAGAAGAAGGCTTCAGACGATCAAATTACTCTGAGCTACGGGAGGACATTCAGACCAAAGGAAAAGAAGTTGAAAACTTTGAAAAAAATTTAGAAGAATGTATAACTAGAATAACCAATACAGAGAAGTGCTTAAAGGAGCTGATGGAGCTGAAAACCAAGGCTCGAGAACTACGTGAAGAATGCAGAAGCCTCAGGAGCCAATGCGATCAACTGGAAGAAAGGGTATCAGCAATGGAAGATGAAATGAATGAAATGAAGCAAGAAGGGAAGTTTAGAGAAAAAAGAATAAAAAGAAATGAGCAAAGCCTCCAAGAAATATGGGACTATGTGAAAAGACCAAATCTACGTCTGATTGGTGTACCTGAAAGTGATGGGGAGAATGGAACCAAGTTGGAAAACACTCTGCAGGATATTATCCAGGAGAACTTCCCCAATCTAGCAAGGCAGGCCAATGTTCAGATTCAGGAAATACAGAGAATGCCACAAAGATACTCCTCGAGAAGAGCAACTCCAAGATACATAATTGTCAGATTCACCAAAGTTGAAATGAAGGAAAAAATGTTAAGGGCAGCCAGAGAGAAAGGTTGGGTTACCCTCAAAGGGGAGCCCATCAGACTAACAGCAGATCTCTCGGCAGAAACCCTACAAGCCAGAAAAGAGTGGGGGCCAATATTCAACAATCTTAAAGAAAAGAATTTTCAACCCAGAATTTCATATCCAGCCAAACTAAGCTTCATAAGTGAAGGAGAAATAAAATACTTTACAGACAAGCAAATGCTGAGAGATTTTTGTCACCACCAGGCCTGCCCTAAAAGAGCTCCTGAAGGAAGTGCTAAACATGGAAAGGAACAACTGGTAACAGCTGCTGCAAAATCATGCCAAAATGTAAAGACCATCGAGACTAGGAAGAAACTGCATCAACTAACGAGCAAAATAACCAGCTAACATCATAATGACAGGATCAAATTCATACATAACAATATTAATTTTAAATATAAATGGGCTAAATTCTCCAATTAAAAGACACAGACTGGCAAATTGGATAAAGAGTCAAGACCCATCAGTGTGCTGTATTCAGGAAACCCATCTCACGTGCAGAGACACACATAGGCTCAAAATAAAGGGATGGAGGAAGATCTACCAAGCAAATGGAAAACAAAAAAAGGCAGGGGTTGCAATCCTAGTCTCTGATAAAACAGACTTTAAACCAACAAAGATCAAAAGAGACAAAGAAGGCCATTACATAATGGTAAAGGGATCAATTCAACAAGAAGAGCTAACTATCCTAAATATATATGCGCCCAATACAGGAGCACCCAGATTCATAAAGCAAGTCCTGAGTGACCTACAAAGAGACTTAGACTCCCACACATTAATAATGGGAGACTTTAACACCCCACTGTCAACATTAGACAGATTAACGAGACAGAAAGTCAACAAGGATACCCAGGAATTGAACTCAGCTCTGCACCAAGCGGACCTAATAGATATCTACAGAACTCTCCACCCCAAATCAACAGAATATACATTTTTTTCAGCACCACACCACACCTATTCCAAAATTGACCACATAGTTGGAAGTAAAGCTCTCCTCAGCAAATGTAAAAGAACAGAAATTATAACAAACTATCTCTCAGACCACAGTGCAATCAAACTAGAACTCAGGATTAAGAAACTCACTCAAAACTGCTCAACTACATGGAAACTGAACAACCTGCTCCTGAATGACTACTGGGTACATAACAAAATGAAGGCAGAAATAAAGATGTTCTTTGAAACCAACGAGAACAAAGACACAACATACCAGAATCTCTGGGATGCATTCAAAGCAGTGTGTAGAGGGAAATTTATAGCACTAAATGCCCACAAGAGAAAGCAGGAAAGATCCAAAATTGACACCCTAACATCACAATTAAAAGAACTAGAAAAGCAAGAGCAAACACATTCAAAAGCTAGCAGAAGGCAAGAAATAACTAAAATCAGAGCAGAACTGAAGGAAATAGAGACACAAAAAGCCCTTCAAAAAATTAATGAATCCAGGAGCTGGTTTTTTGAAAGGATCAACAAAATTGATAGACCACTAGGAAGACTAATAAAGAAAAAAAGAGAGAAGAATCAAATAGACACAATAAAAAATGATAAAGGGGTATCACCACCGATCCCATAGAAATACAAACTACCATCAGAGAATACTACAAACACCTCTATGCAAATAAACTAGAAAATCTAGCAGAAATGGATAAATTCCTCGACACATACACTCTCCCAAGACTAAACCAGGAAGAAGTTGAATCTCTGAATAGACCAATAACAGGATCTGAAATTGTGGCAATAATCAATAGTTTACCAACCAAAAAGAGTCCAGGACCAGATGGATTCACAGCCGAATTCTACCAGAGGTACAAGGAGGAACTGATACTATTCCTTCTGAAACTATTCCAATCAATAGAAAAAGAGGGAATCCTCCCTAACTCATTTTATGAGGCCAGCATCATTCTGATACCAAAGCCGGGCAGAGACACAACCAAAAAAGAGAATTTTAGACCAATATCCTTGATGAACATTGATGCAAGAATCCTCAATAAAATACTGGCAAACCGAATCCAGCAGCACATCAAAAAGCTTATCCACCATGATCAAGTGGGCTCCATCCCTGGGATGCAAGGCTGGTTCAATATACACAAATCAATAAATGTAATCCAGCATATAAACAGAGCCAAAGACAAAAACCACATGATTATCTCAATAGATGCAGAAAAGGCCTTTGACAAAATTCAACAACGCTTCATGCTAAAAACTCTCAATAAATGAGGTATTGATGGGACGTATTTCAAAATAATAAGAGCTATCTATGACAAACCCACAGCCAATATCATACTGAATGGGCAAAAACTGGAAGCATTCCCTTTGAAAACTGGCACAAGACAGGGATGCCCTCTCTCACCACTCCTATTCAACATAATGTTGGAAGTTCTGGCCAGGGCAATTAGGCAGGAGAAGGAAATAAAGGGTATTCAATTAGGAAAAGAGGAAGTCAAATTGTCCCTGTTTGCAGACGACATGATTGTATATCTAGAAAACACCATTGTCTCAGCCCAAAATCTCCTTAAGCTGATAAAGAACTTCAGCAAAGTCTCAGGATACAAAATCAATCTACAGAAATCACAAGCATTCTTATACACCAACAACAGACAAACAGAGAGCCAAATCATGAGTGAACTCCCATTCACAATTGCTTCAAAGAGAATAAAATACTTAGGAATCCAACTTACAAGGGATGTGAAGGACCTCTTCAAGGAGAACTGCAAACCACTGCTCAAGGAAATAAAAGAGGATACAAACAAATGGAAGAACATTCCATGCTCATGGGTAGGAAGAATCGATATCATGAAAATGGCCATACTGCCCAAGGTAATTTACAGATTCAATGCCATCCCCATCAAGCTACCAATGCCTTTCTTCACAGAATTGGAAAAAACTACTTTAAAGTTCATATGGAACCAAAAAAGAGCCCGCATCGCCAAGTCTATCCTAAGCCAACAGAACAAAGCTGGAGGCATAACACTACCTGACTTCAAACTATACTACAAGGCTACAGTAACCAAAACAGCATGGTACTGGTACCAAAACAGACATATAGATCAATGGAACAGATCAGAGCCCTCAGAAATAATGCCGCATATCTACAACTATCTGATCTTTGACACACCTGAGAAAAACAAGCAATGGGGAAAGGATTCCCTATTTAATAAATGGTGCTGGGAAAACTGGCTAGCCATATGTAGAAAGCTGAAACTGGATCCCTTCCTTACACCTTATACAAAAATCAATTCAAGATGGATTAAAGACTTACACATTAGACCGAAAACCATAAAAACCCTAGAAGAAAACCTAGACATTACCATTCAGGACATAGGCATGGGCAAGGACTTCATGTCTAAAACACCAAAAGCAATGGCAACGAAAGCCAAAATTGACAAATGGGATCTAATTAAACTAAAGAGCTTCTGCACAGCAGAAGAAACTACCATCAGAGTGAACAGGCAACCAACAAAATGGGAGAAAATTTTCGCAACCTACTCATCTGACAAAGGGCTAATATCCAGAATCTACAATGAACACAAACAAATTTACAAGAAAAAAACAAACAACCCCATCAAAAAGTGGGCGAAGGACATGAACAGACACTTCTCAAAAGAAGACATTTATGCAGCCAAAAAACACATGAAAAAATGCTCAGCATCACTGGCCATCAGAGAAATGCAAATCAAAACCACAATGAGATACCATCTCACAGCAGTTAGAATGGCAATCATTAAAAAGTCAGGAAACAACAGGTGTTGGAGAGGATGTGGAGAAATAGGAACACTTTTACACTGTTGGTGGGACTGTAAACTAGTTCAACCATTGTGGAAGTCAGTGTGGCGATTCCTCAGGGATCTAGAACTAGAAATACCATTTGACCCAGCCAACCCATTACTGGGTATATACCCAAAGAATTATAAATCATGCTGCTATAAAGACACATGCACACGTATGTTTATTGCGGCATTATTCACAATAGCAAAGACTTGGAACCAAACAAAATGTCCAACAATGATAGGCTGGATTAAGAAAATGTGGCACATATACACCATGGAATACTATGCAGCCATAAAAAATGATGAGCTCATGTCCTTTGTAGGGACATGGATGAAATTGGAAAGCATCATTCTCAGTAAACTATCGCAAGAACAAAAAACCAAACACCGCATATTCTCACTCATAAGTGGGAATTGAACAATGAGATCACATGGACACAGGAAAGGGAATATCACACTCTGAGGACTGTGGTGGGGTGGGGGTAGGGGGGAGGGATAGCATTGGGAGATATACCTAATGCTAGATGACGAGTTAGTGGGTGCAGTGCACCAGCATGGCACATGTATACGTATGTAACTAACCTGCACAATGTGCACATGTACCCTAAAACTGAAAGTATAATAATAAAAAAAAAGAAGTTTGAAAGATAAATTAACAACATAACCTCACATCCAAAAGAATTAGAAAATCAAGAACAAATCAACTGCAAAGCTAGCAGAAGACAAGAAATAATTAAAATCAGAACTGTACTGAAGGAAATAGAGACACAAAAAATCCATTCAAAATGTTAACAAATTCAGGAGTTTGCTTTCTGAAAACATTAATTAGATAGGCCTCTAGCTGGACTAATAAAGAAGAAAAGAGAGAAGATCCAAATAAACACAATTAAAAGTGACAAAGGGGATGTTACCACTGACTTGAAACAGTGCACACAAACTAGAAACCTAGAAGAGTTGGGTAAATTCCTGAACACATACACCCTCCCAAGAATGGACCATGAAGAAACTGATTCCATGAACAGACCAATAACAAGCTCTGATGCTGAATCAGTAATAAATAGCCTACCAACCAAAAAAAAAAAAAAAAAAAAGGCCAGGACCAGATGGATTCACAGCTGAAATCTACCAGATGTATAAAGAACCGGTACCATTCCACCTGAAACTATTCCAAAAAATTGAGGAGGAGGGACTTCTCCCCAACTCATTTTATGAGGCCAGCATCATCCTGATCATAAAACCTGGCAAAGACACAACAACAAAAGAAAGTTCAGGCCAATATCTTCCATGAACAATGAGGCAAAAATCCTGAACAAAATACCTGTAAACATAATCCAGCAGCACATCAAAAAGCTAATCCATCATGATCAAGTAGGCTTAATCCTTGAAATGCAAGGTTGGTTCAACATACACAAATCAATAATGTGATTCATCACATAAACAAAACTAAAGACAAAAATAACATGACTATCTCAATAGATGCAGAAAAGGCTTTCAACGAAATTCGACATCCCTTCATACTAAAAACTCTCAATAAACTAGGTGTTGAAGGAACATACCTCAAAATAATAAGAGCCATCTATGATAAACCCACAACCAACATCATACTGAATGTACAAAAGCTGGAAGCATTCTTCTTGAAAACCAACACAAGACAAGCATGCCCTCTCTCACCAATCCTATTCAACATAGTATTGGAAGTTCCGGCAAAGGCAATCAGGCAAGATTTCCTCCAACTAGGAAAACAGGAGGTCAAACTACCCATTTACAGAAAGCATGATTCTATATCTAGAAAACCCCAGCAGTGAGTTTTTCATCTCAGCCCAAAAGCTCCTTCAGTTGATAAACAACTTCGGCAAACTTTCAGAGTATAACATCCATGTACAAAAATTATTAGCATTTCTATACACAAATAACAGCCAAGCCAAAAGCCAAATCAGGAACAAGATTCCACTCACAGTTGCCACAAAAAGAAAAAAATACCTAGGAGTACAGCTAACCAGGGAGGGGAAAGATCTTTACAACGAGAATTACAAAACACTTCTCAAAGAAATCAGAGATGACACAAACAAATGTAAAAATATTCCATGATCTTAGAGAAGAAGAATCAATATCATTAAAATGTCCATACTGCCCAAAGCAATTTACAGATTCAGTGCTATTCCTTTCAAACTAATGATGACATTCTTCACAGAACTAGAAAAAAAACTATTTTAAATTTCATATGGAATTAAAAAAGAGCCTGAATAGCCAAGGCAATCCTGAGCAAAAAGAACAAAGCTGGAGGCATCACGTTACCCAACTTCAAACTATACTACAGGGCTATAGTATACAAAACAGCATAGTATTGGTACAAAAACAGACATATAGACCAATGGACCAGATTAGAGAGCCCAGAAATAAGGCCACATACCTACAACCATCTGATCTTTGACAAAGCTGATGAAAACAAGCAATGGGGAAAAGACTCCTTTTCCAATAAATAGTACTGGGATAACTGGCTAGCCATATGCAGATTAACTGGACCCCTTCCTGAAACCCTATGCATAAATCCAACTCAAGATGGATTAAAGACTTAAATGTAAAATCCAAAACTATACAAGCCCTGGAAGATAACCTAGGCATACCATTCTGGACATAGATTGGGCGAAGATTTCATGATGAAGACACCAAAAGCAATTACAACAGAAGAAAAATTGACAAATGGGATCTAATTAAACTTAAGTTCTTCTGCAAAGCAAAAGAAACTATCAACAGAGTAAACAGACAACCTACAAAATGTGAGAAAATATTTTCAAACTATGCACCTGACAACGGTCTAATGTTGAGCGTCTATAAGTAACTTAAATAAGTTTATAAGCAAAAAACAACCACATAAATAAGTGGGCAGAGGAATATGAACAGACTTTTCAAAAGAAGACATACATGCAGCCAAGAAGCAAATGAAAAAAGCTCAATATCACTGATCATTAGAGAAATGCAAATCAAAGCCACAATGAAATACCATCTCACACAAGTCAGAATGAGTATTTCAAAGCCAAAAAAATAAAAAAAGAAAAAAATAACAGATTCTGATGAGGTTGTGGAGAAAAGAGAACACTTTTACACTGTTGCTGGGAATGTAAATAGATGTGACCATTGTGGAGAGCAGTGTGGCAATTCCTCAAAGAGCTCAAAACAGAAATACCATTCAACCCAGAAGTCCCATTGCTGGGTATATATCCAAAGGAATATAAATCATTCTACCATAAAGACACACGAACACGAATGTTCACTGCAGTACTATTCACAATAGCAAAGACATGGAATCAACCTAAATGCCCATCAATGATAGATTGGATAAAGAAAATGTGGTACATATGCACCATGGAACACTCAGCAGCCATAAAAAAAGAATGAGATCATGCCCTTTGCAGGAACACGGATGGAGCTGGAGGCCACTGTCCTTAGCAAACTCAACGCAGGAACAGAAAACCAAATACCATATGTTCTCTCTTATAAATGGGAGCTAAGTGATGAGAACACATGGACACAAAGAGGGGAACAACAGACACTGGGGCCTACTTGAGGGTGTGGGGTGAAAGGAGGGAGAGATTTGGGAAAAATAACAATTGGATACTAGGCTTAGTACATGGTACATGGGTGATGAAATAATTTGTACAACAAACCCCTGTGACCTGAGTTTACCTATATAACAAACCTGCACATGTACACCTGAAATAAAAGTTGAAAAAAAAGAAAATTGCAGAGTAGATTTTAAATGTCCTCACCACAAAAAGAGCATGTGAAGTAATAGATACCTTAATTAGCTTAATCTAGCCATTCCACAGTGTATACATATATTGTCACGTTGTACACTCTAATTATGTAGTCTTTTGTCAATTTTTAAAAATTAACTAATTAAAAAAAATTATGGGCTGGGCGCAGTGGCTCACTACTTTGGGAGGCCGGGGCAGGCAGATTGCCTGAGATCAGGAGTTCGAGACCAGCCTGGCAACATGGAAAAACCCCATCTCTACGAAAAATACAAAAATTAGCCAGGCATGGTGGAGGTGCCTGTAGTCCAATCTACTCAGGAGGCTGAGGCAGGAGAATCGCTTGAGCCCGGGAGGCAGAGTTTGCAGTGAGCCAAGATAGTGCCACTGCACTCCAGCCCTTATCATTCCTTTAAGGCCAGAAAAAAAGGATAGCCAGTTGTGACAGCACCATTTATTACATTAACTCCCACTTCTTCAATTATTTGAAATACCGTCTTTATCACATATGAGATTCTTATATATTTGGGGATCTATTTCTGGAGTTTCTGTCTTCTTTCACTGATGGATTTGCCTAGTTCTCTGTCAGCACTGATTCGTTCCAGTCTGTTTTGATTTCACACTACGCTTGTGCTCCCTCACTATTCTTCTTTTGCATTTTCTTGACTGTTCTTGGGTATTTAATTTTTCCTATGGACCTTGAGATTATACCCTAGTTCTGTTGCTTTTCCCATGACGCTCAAAGCCCTGTTGGGATTCTGATTGGAAATCATTCCATTTATAAATAAATTTTATGGGAATGAACATCCATGTTATATGACAATGAAGAACATGGCATGTCTTTTCATTTAATCAGATGTCCTTTATAATAACATTTTATGGTTTTCTTCATCTAGGGCTTTTATAGTTATATTTATTTTACAGTTTTTGTTGCTACCATGAATAGCATTGCCTTCCATTTGTATTTCTAGTTGTTTTTTTACTAATATGGAGAACAACTGCTACTTTTAATCTACCCACTTTACCTAATTTTATGATTTTCATTTTTTTAGACTATTGAATTTTATGTTTTCTAAGTCTACACTCATATCACTGGCAAAAGAAATCCGATACTTATATATATAATATATATATAATATATTATATATCATTTATAAATGTTTTGGTCTTAATGGATTTACCAAAATCCATACATTATTGAATAATAATGACAATAATAGCATCACTGTCTATTGATTATTGATTTTAATTAATTTATTTTAATTAATTAATTTTAATTTTAATGGGTTAGTATTACACAGTTTTGAATGATATTCACTGCTGGTAATTGGTAAATGGTATTTGCATATTTTACCTCTGCTTTCATATAACAATTTTCCTTAGTATTTAAATAAATAGCTGCTGAATTTTACCAAAGATAACTTTTCTGCATCTATGACACATTTATCCTTTAATTCGTTAACGTAAGTGATAATGTTGATAGAGTCCTGATATTGAGCCACCTTAATATTCTGGAAATAAGCTCTGTGAATGAGAATTTCTCACTATTTTTTCTTTTCTTCCTCATTCTTTTCTATCCTGAGATCTGTGTTCTGATACATTTGCTTCTTGACATCATTCTTAGACGTTTTTCTTCAGATATGTGGGTGATATCAAAAACTAGCAAGTGCACAATTATCTTTCTCTCAGTCTAATAGGGAAATGTTGTCTCATAGGAAAAGACTGTGTATGGAACCTTTGGGGCACACAGTTTTTGTTCTCTTTTTGTTCTGCCTGATCTAACTTCCAATTTTGCATGAGGAGATTAATGCCAGTCTGATTTTACCTTTTAAAATACTTAGTTCTTTCTCTCTGAAAGCTTGTAAGAAAGTATTTTTCATTCATTTAAAAATATTCATTGAGTGCTTACTATGTGGAAGGCACTATTCTGAGCTCAGCCGTAAATAAAAAAGTGGTCTCAGCCGTGTGCTTACTTTCAGATTTACCCTATTTTAGGCTGTTTGGGCATGTGTGGGACATGATGATCCCTTATAATCTGAAGACCAATTTCTCCCTTCAGCTGAGTGATTTTTTTCCTATTGTCTTCTATTTTTTAATAATCTGTTTAATTTTTGCCTCTCTTCTAGCTTAAATGTCTTCTTTCGTTGATGTTATTTGCATGTTTGGTCTCCTATATTTATCTTACAAGTTGTTTATGTTTTCACTTATTATTTCTGTATTTTTATATGTTTGTTTTGAGCTGTGAGATATTTCTTCTTGATTTTCAGTTCACTAACTTGTTTCAACATAGGAACCCTCTTCTCCTTAAATTCACCCCTTGAATGTTTTAATCTTTTTCTTTTCTTTTCTTTTGGGGAGGTGGTTACATAAATGTGTTGGCTGGTTATCATTAGGAGTCATCCTTTTTAGGGAAAATTCTGAGACGCTTTTTCTCTCTGACTTCCGGGCTCCCTTACATGTGTTGTTATTTTCCCTTGCCTGCTCAATGGGTCTCTGATCCATTTGCTAGGGTACCTTAAATGGGGAGAACTCCAAGAGCTGTGAAGACTGATGGTGTCTTTACCTGTGGGTTGGTAGAGGAGTTACAGGTAGGTTTTAGTCTCTTGCACTGGGAGAAAGCCCCTGCAGTTAGGACTTCCAGCCCCTGGGGCCAGAAAGAAGGCAGCCAACTGGCTTGTCTCCCCTCCAGCTCCTCAGGAGTGGGCATGCTTACATGGGCTATGTAGGCCTTGGAGCACGGAGGGAGATAGGAACTTCTGTGGGCCAAGCTCCCCTCAGGCTTCTTGCTCTGATCATCTTTTCCTGGAAGGTACATGGACTTGGCTTCCTTTACCTACAGGCCTTAGCAGCTGCTAGGTTTAGAAGAGAAAAATGGGTTAAAATTGGGAGGTGGTAGAAGTTAAAAAATGTCATCTTTCCAGAATCCTATCCTTTTTGCTACAAATGTAACTCTGTCTATTAAAGAGTTATGGTGAATCTTCATAATTCATTCTTTCTCTGTCAGTCTTGAATCAGAGCAAACTACTTAGTATGCATAAGAAAGACATGAAGTTTGTGGAACAGTGACAAGATTAGTCTACTCTTCCTCTTATTGTAAATATCTACCTGTTTTTCAGGACTCAGTTTGTACAACAAGTCTTCAGAAATCCTTTCCACTCTCTTTATTAATCCACTCATGGTGAGATTAGTCTTTGTTTTAAACTGGGACATGCAAAAGATGTGATGTCTCCTGAAGTTCTATAGCATTTACTGTGCACAAGTCACTTGACACATAATGGTAACATCAACAGTAAAAAAGCTAACATTTATTAGTTTAGCACTATGTTAGCATTTTTATATATGTCACTCATCCTATGAGTAAGACAGTTTTATTGTTCTTTTTAATATACATTTTTATTTACCTTTAAAGATGTCTAGTTTCCCTTATCAAGCTGTAGTCTCCTTTTGGGCACTTCTTAATTTCTTTATACCTCCAGTGCCTACTTCCATGAACAAAATAGATACTTAATAAATGTTGCTTTCATAATGGTAATAATAACCAGACAATCAGTAAGTATCCTTTCATCCTGTAGTAATTACAGAGTGTCCTCAATCCTTCAGTTTGCTGGGGTGAAATAGCCAGGAAGATGGGGACATAACCTGTATTTTTGAAGAGTTTATAGTTTTGATGAGAACAGAAATTAAATCTTGGAAGAGCAAAAAGATACTAAATCTCCTAATCTCTTCTCTTACCATTCAATAAAGATGAACTATTTTGGAGACCTTCTTATAAACAAAAGGACAATTATAGAACCTCAGCTATGGAGGAAAGAAGATCTTTTCTACTTAGAAACAAACTATCATTTTAAAACACATCAGCTACACAAAAATACCAATAATGAGGAAGTAAAGAACTAAACATTTTTTACATGTTTTAAAAGCTGAGTCTTTATTAAATGACAATATGTAGGCCTCAAATATGAAAATGCAATTCATGATATAGGAATTTTTTAAAGGCCTTATAAAGTACATGGATAGTAATTTGACGATTTGTAATTCAGAATATTTGACTAATTTCCTAAACTACACCATCTTGGACACATGCCAGCCCAATACCAGGGATTAAAAATGTACCAATTGAGTAGGTCCTTGTAAAAACTTTATATCTCCAACATTTACATGTAAAATCCATAGAATAAGCTGCCTCGGTACGGCATTACACTTGCTGTTTGTTACTAGTAAGCCCTATATCTGCTATTTATTTATTTATTTATTTATTTATTTATTTATTTATTTATTTTACATTTTTCCTGTCCTCCCAGGGAGGCAAGTTTGAAAACTTCATTTTTAAGACTCATCTGCCCACTGGGTTTTGATTATGAGCTGCTAGAAGAAGACGCGCCTGAGAACAGAAGGCGAAAGGAAGGCAGCAGCCCCTTTGCTTCTGCAGCAGTGCGAGTGCGTGTGCAGCCCCCTGCACCGTGCAGCATTGATGGTGGCTCCCTCAGATCAGTGAGCCTGTGGACTCTCGAGCCCAGCAAAGTCAGAGTGTGGCAAGCATTAGGTCTCTGCTCCACCTCAGTGCCAATTCTGCCATGGGGACTCTGGCAGATTCAGAAAGAGGAAGAATTCCTGGGCCGTGGGTACAGCCACCATCCTGTTTTCTTCCTTTAGCCCTTTCAACATGTTTGCAACCAATTCCCTGTTAAAACTGTATTTCAATGCTTTTGTTACCAGTCACTCAGTTGGAAATAACCAGAAAGTGTTCTGTTTTCCTAGCTGGAAACTAGCGTATTCAGTCTGAGACTTTTAGTTAAGGGGCTTGGTTATAATGAGGTTGACTGTGTTAGAAAAACAGAATATTTTTTTGTAAGTTTGGCAAACAGAGCTGTGGGTCTTCTAAGTCATACTTGTTTGAGAATTCCTCTAGGAGCAGATTCTTTTTACTCTAGCCCAGTTTAAGGTAAACTTGTTCCATGGAAGCAGAGTTTTGCAGTTTCTTCACGTTTTGCAATTTTTCAGTTTCTTCATGTTGTACCTCTTCCTTCTGCTCCCTTTTCCCCATTTGGTAACTGCTCTGACTCCCATGGAGGCTGACTTGCTGACAACTTGCACCCCAGCAAATTAACACAATAGTGGAAAACATTGTCATTAGTCATTTAGACTAATGATATAGCAATGACTTTCAATGCATGGTTATCTCCACTAGGCATTTTCTTTTGAAGCATTTAATTTCTAATTTGGGATCAATATCCTATACTCATTAAAGACATTTTAGGCACCTGTAAGATATTTCTTGTCCTGCTCACACTACAGTGGATGCTCTGGTACTACAATATTAGCAGAGCCAACTTTGAGGTTCACTCTGCTGGGTTATCAGCAGTGAAACTGTTTTTGTGTGGGTAGCCTCCTGATGCCCCAAGGGAGACTGGAAAGGTGCTCACGTTGTCCTTTTCTTAATCATTCCTTCATTTAATCATTTATTCCAAACAAACACTTATTGATCATCATATGTAGCAGGTGCCATGTAGGCACTGTGGAGACAGCCCTGGTTAAAACAAGAAAAATGACACAGCATATGAGTCAAGGGCTCGGCTGCTCTGCCACTTGGAGCTTTGGAAGCATGAGAAAGTTATTTTGAGCCTCAGTTTCCTCATCTACAGTATGGGGAAAATCATGGTATGGCCTGCAGCTAGTTGTGCCTAGTTCTCCCCACACACATTTCCCCAAACTACTAAAGACAGAGCTTTTTATGTCCCTTTATCCCCTGCTTTTCCTCAATATAGAACAGCACAGAAGGCCCTGAATTTTGCACAATTCCTTCCTTTCTCTGCCTTGGATCCAGAGTTTCCAGATGCTTCTTTGTATTTTTCAGATAGGGTTTTCTGAGTTTCCAGATGCATTTTATATTTTGAGTATATTTAAGATTATATGCCTTCCTATTTAATATTTTTCTCACACAAAGATCATTGTTCTGTTACCTTGGACTTTATTCCTATGCCTTCTGTATTATTTCTATCTGTGGCAGTGATGCTTTCAAAAAGCTGTGTTGAACACATTCTCTTTATTAATAAAGATATTTTTGTATAAAATCACTTTGCCAAGATAATAAGGTACTGCTTAATAATCAGTGAATCTTCATTAAAAAGTAATCTTTGACATGTCCCAATTTAAAACAAAGGCTACAATAGTCATTATATCTGGCATAAGCTCAACCTTCTGCCTTATCACCCAATTTAGCACATTCCTGGATTTAATGTAGGATTGTCAACCAGGATCTGGGGAAATGTCAATGGCAGTGACAAAATGACTGTTGTATACATTCAAAGCTTTCCCAGATAGTCTTTAAAATAATAAAAGAATGAAATAAAGTCAAACTGCTGTTGGGAATATTTATATAACACTACTCATTTTCTTCAATGAATATCCCTTCTATAATATAGACAGACCATAGATACGGACTAGTATAAATATTTGACATCACTTTAATTTGCCAAAATGACTATTTCCCTGTACAGTGTTAGATTTGTGCTTTCAGGCTCTTGTGGCCAGAGAGCCCCCAAAAGTAGAGCCTGAGAAAAAGACTTGTGATCAGGTAGTTTATGTGGGAGGTGAGGTTGGAAGTGAAAAGGCAAAGAAGGGACCACCCAGGCCTGCTGTGGGTGGCTGAGGCTTGATGCCACCAGTACCTTTTTGTCAGCATGTTTAATAGGATGCTTATCAGAATTGTCCACCTGAGGGAGGAATAGAAGAAGCATGTATTTATCTCAGTCTCCCTTGAGCATGTGTGGGGACTGAGTGGGCGCTCACACCAAATATGGGCTGCATACAGAAGGAGAGGCCCTGTTGATGGAGTGGGTGGAGGCTCTAAGAAAATGTCCCCTCCCCACCATCACTGGACTCAGAGATGAGACTGTGAGGCGGGAACCAGGCGACCAGTACTTTGTTGAAAAAAAAATTAGATCAAATAGGACAAAAATTATTCATAAGGAAAATGATCCTATTTGAAGATTGTATGCTTTCCTTGACTGCTAATATCTGTATTTCCATACTTGGTATAAAGACAACTTAGAGTTGGAGAGATCATTGAGTTACTTAATTAAATATAATAAATCTGATGTTTTAACACTAGGTGGGATGATTAATTCTGTATTCCTGAACCTAGCCTCATTTGGAGCATACCCCTGGGGCTCTTTATTCTTACATTTATAAATTATGAAATCAATGAGTCTAATATTTTGCTGATAATGGGTATATAATACATTAAGTCTTGCTTGCTTTAAACAGTTATTTTTCTTGATAGCAATTAAGATGGGAAAAAGAATGTCCTTTGTCATGGTCTACATTTTCATACTACAAACTATACTTATAGTTTGGCTTAGTGATGATAGCAATACAATTATTAAAGCAATATGAATGTAAGCCCTCCAGAAATTTTAAAACAATTGTAAAAATCAAAAGATGAATAAAAACTGAAATGAAAAAATACAATAAATGAGGACATTGAGCATTTTTTCAAGATATATATGAGTGAATTTATATGCAAGGACAAAGAAGAAAAGTCTTGCGTTGTTATATCTGGAAAGATATTCTGTGTTACTTTGACTTTTATGCCATCCAAAGCCTTGAATGTCTTCCTCTTGTTTTTTTTTGTTTGTTTGTTTGTTTGTTTTTTTTATACTTTAAGATCTGGGATACATGTGCAGAACATGCAGGTTTGTTGTTTTTAAGATCCACCCCAAAGCAAGTCATTCAAGAGCTGCCACAAGCAGACTCCAGCCTTTCTCTCCAAACCACCTGACCCGGGTGCTTTAGAAATATTAACTCAGTCTGTATAAAATGTCTATGAAGTAGCTCCCATTATCACCTGTATTTTTCAGATGAGGAAACTGAGGTACATGCAGGTTAAGTAACTTGCTGGCAATCATCAGCAAGTAAGTGGTGAGCCAAGATTCGGGAGGATGCTTTGCTCATGTGTAATTACTGAAAAGTCTCTTCTCTAGTCTGGTCTGAATCTCAGCCCTTCCTGTCTTTAGGAAATGTAAATGTACTGACTGAGTCCCATCTGTTAAGAATAACAGTGGGATTAATAGCCATAGGCTCTTCTCTGTGTGAGAGAGACAGGACAACACAGCTCCCTGTTCTGTAGCTTTTGTCTCTGACTGGCATTCCCTTTCTCCTTCCCTACAGAGCACTTTGGACAGAGTTCTGCAAGGGCCTCCTCAGTTAGGCCCAACCAATCCCAAGACCATGTGCAGGGGACAGTCCACTGTCATTTTGCTAAGAAATCGCTCTTCCGATGGTAGTTTCTAAGCCTCACAAATATGCAGTAAAGATGTCTTTCCTCGAATGATGTTTGATTAGTCCCTTTTCTTTTCCTCTGCAGTAGTTCTTTAACTTTGATAGAATTCCTCTAGAATTGTACCACCTCTTAGATAAAATAGACATCTTGAATATGGAATCTGAGCTTCCTAATGTTTCCCTAACATCCTTTATGGGAGAAGCACATATAGCCTTGCAGATCTGTGGAATAGAATATATGTAATGCCTAGCGTTGAATTTCAAGAGCCCTAAATGGAGTAGAATTTGTTTACAACTTTTTATGCACTTGACAACTTATAGAATATAGGGGCAGTTATCTTGAAAGTGTTGTTTAGTTTTTACTTTTGGTTAGGATTTTTTTTAAATCAAAATTGTTAGATCTTAGCAAGAGTGTGGTGGAGCCATTCTGACAAACGGTGTGACTAGGAAGACTATTTCTACTTGTTACTGTGTGTGTATGTAGGGGGAGGGGATTTATTTCATAGTTTTCCTTTGTTATTTAAAATTATAATTTTTATGTAAAATTTAATTTTATACAAGGAAATTTCTCAGTAGTAATAGGCATATCGATTTAAAAATTGAGTCTAACCCTTTAATCTAGTGCTTCTTACACTTTATTATGCCCATGAATCCCCTGGGATCTTGCTAAAATGCAGATGTGGAGTCAGTGGGTCCAGCCTGAAGCCTGAGAGTACGCATTCTAACAAGCTCCCAGGTGATGCTGAGGCTGCTGGCCTTCGGGTCTATACCTTGAATAATAAGGAGAAGCCATACACAAGCCAGCCTAATGCCTTACTTTCTTTCTTTCTTTCTTTCTTCCCTTCTGTCTTTTTAAAAAATTCCAGCACTATGACAGCATTTGTGCTTTTCCCCCAGCCCATCTAAAGGGGGCTTTGCATAGATAATAATAGTCTGCCTTCCTAGGTGTGGTGTGAGGATTCAGTGATATAAACCCTTGCTACTCAAACTATGATCTGTAAACCACCACCAGCAACAGCAGCCACCTGGGAGCTTATTAGAAATGCAGAAGCTCCGGCCCCACCCAAAACCTGCTGATTCATCTGCATTTGTTTTTGTTGTTGTTGTTGTTTGTTTTTTTGTTTTTGTTTTCTGAGACAGGGTCTCGCTCTGTCGCCCAGGCTGGAGTGCAGTGGTGCAATCTCGGCTCACTGCAACCTCCGCCTCGTGGGTTCAAGCGATTCTCCTGCCTCAGCCACTGGGATCGCTGGGATTATAAGCGTGCACCACCACACTCAGCTAATTTTTCATTTCACCATGTTGGCCAGACTGGTCTTAAGCTCCTGGCCTCAAGTGATCCATCTGCCATGGCCTCTTGAATTGCTGGGATTATACGCATGTGCTACCACGCCCGACCTCATCTGCATTTTAATAAGATGTCTCAGTGACTTGTGTGTACATTAAAATTTGAGAAACATTGATGTAATCCAGATGGAGTAACTGGTGCATAGAAAGTGTTTAATAGATACTAGCCATTACCCTTTGAGTTCTTAAAACCATATGATTATTTATATTCTAATTTGCATTTGAGAAGATTAACACTATTTGTAAAGAAAAGGACTAGGGTTATAACCTAGATCTTTTGATTCCAAAACCTGTGCCCTTAATACTGCATAACCTTTTCCCCAAAGTGAATTTCTTGAATAGTGAGGGCCTTGGTGGCTCTCACCTCTCCTTTTAACTCTCCTTAATCAGGCACCTTACTTTTGAAAGTCCAGTGATGCTCATGAAGGTGCTCCCAGCAGGGTTCCCTTCCTGAACACCATGTTGTTTTCCCCAGTCAGAGCACTGCCTGTTACTTGCTCGGCAATCATATTCCTGCAGGTTGCAGCAAAGGCTAGTCATGTTAATCCCTCCAGAGGTGTTTTCTGCCTTATGCAGGGTTTTCTGAATGTAATCCTTTTGCTCAAAGGAAGTACTCCTCAGGAGGAAATGCTACACTTTGTAGGATTAGAGGGGGTGTGTTTTAGCATGGAAATGGGAGTGGGGTGGTGTGTGTGTGTGTGTGTGTGTGTATGTGCATGTGTATGTGTGTATGTGTGTCTGTAGAGATTTCTCCTTGCATCCCTGAATCCCAACTCTTGACAGACACCTGATCCATTTACGTGAACAGTTTTACGGAGACCATTTGCCCCATTCTGATTATGGCACTTAAGAATTTAAGTAGGATTTTTTTGTTTCTGACTTTGCTTTCAAGTTTTAAGAAACAAGCTAATAGACTGGAGGCTTACTGTGATAGATTTAGCCATGTCTCTTTCTCTTAATTGCTTCATGTTTAAACTTGAGGTGCTTTTCAATTTGCTCTTGTTTCTCACCTCACAGGCACTGACTGATTTAGTTTCTTTTAGCATATTTGCTAACAGGAATTGAATGGGCTTGCTGATTCCCATTAGAACTGTTTTGAGTTGGATAGCTTCATTTAAAATGGAAGATTTTATGTACAATTTTTGTTTATCCCCTGGTTTTGTCTCTTGGATTAAGAATATTCCCCAGATAATGAAGTCAAAAGTCTAGAAGAAAGCAAGTTAGGTCTTTAATAGTTTTCCATTCTTCTTTTGTTAATTTTTATTATCTACACTTTGACTTGTCCATTTAGGATATCTAAATGTGTCTTTGTGCTGGGGATAGTATAATATTGTAGAGGAAGATAACGCTTTTGCAGGCTTATTTGGACAGATATGAAGTAAATGAAAAAATTTGCTACTCCCATCCTAGATCAACTTGGAAAGACATTTCTTTAGGACTAAAATGTGATAGTAGAGAAAGCCTACCATTGGTAAATGTGAGACTCAGGCAAATCTGGTAGGTCACATCAAGCTATTCTGGTTCCAGTGATATTTGCAAACAAGAATTTACTAGGCCACCATAATGAAGAAATGCTTCTCTCCTTTGTACCTGTTTTCCTATATACATACAATACACACAATGCTTTGCCTTTAATGCAAATCATTTTAAGACAGTATGAATTTGGAAATTTCTAATGACATAGAATATTGTAGTTGTCATATAGTTCAAGGTGAAAAATAATAGTCTATCAAGTGGCACCAATCTTAAACGGTGTCTATACACATGCTCTGTGTGTTTTTATGTGCATGTGTGTGTGTGTATTTGTGGCAGGATGAATTTCAGTCCATCAGCTCAGGTGGGTAAGTACTGTGACTTTCTATTCTATAACTCAACTTAGTTTTTTGATTTTGAGCTCCTAGTTTGTTAAGAGTGGGCAGAATATTAGCCCTTTCCTGAAGTTCCACCCCCACATGACCATCTTGGTGTGGTTCAATAATTCCAAGACCCTACTCTGTTTCACTGAATTGAAGTAGGGGTAGGGAGAATGGTTGCTGGCCCCCATATTGCCATTGAGGTGTTTAGAGTCCTGGTGCCCATGGTCCCTCAGGTCCCACTTTTTGCTGTGTGGTGTCATTTTTAGGGCATAGAAATCCTTCCCTGGCCTGTCTATGGTCCCGCCTTCCCAGGCATACAATGCAGTTGACCTCTGGGATATGACCATCTGACCATATCTTTGGTTCTTGGGAATCCTGCTCTCTTTTTTTTTACTCCTTCCAACCTTGAGGAATCCTCTCCTGGTCTTAGAGAAGTCCATCTTCCTTCATATGTATGCTTGCTCAGTCCTCTCCTTTTAGGCTTTTGGGTACTAAAGCTGGGTTTTCTACTGGAGAGCTCATTTCTGCCCTCCCCTGAGGTACTGACCATGGACCTAAATGGGGAGGGGACAGTGGGAAGAGGCAGATACAGAAAATACTTTTTTGAATAGAAGGATAACACCTCAAAGTATCATCTCTGTACATATCCTAGGATTTAATCATGTATATTTCTTTGTGTCAGGACATTCCAGAACACTGTGCTGCTGGCCTTTCCTTCAAGTTGCAGAGTCTGCAAGTGACGTGAAACCAACAAGTGTTCATCCATTCTCCCTAACAAATAGGCTATTTGGTATAAGAGACAAAAATTGTGAAGTGAAATTACCTTTCTGTTACAAGTTTCTAAGGACAATTAATTTTAGGTGGTTGGCAAATACAATGTGAAAAGAAGTGGATTGTTAAGTAGCTATGTGAGTTCAGCTTTTTTCCCCCTCCTAATGAGGCACTTAAAATCTTACCTTTTAAGTATATTGCTTGATTATTGTGAATTATGTTTGCAGTGTGACAAATATTTTTAAAAAACAAAGGATTTTCATGGAGGGAAATCAAATCAGGAATAAATGTATGGGTGTGAAATCCTTTCATTGCTACAATAATAGGATAATTTATGTAATACCTCAAGCATCCAAATCTTTTAATAGCTTTTTTGAAATATAAAACACTGAAAAAAATCAGTTATGCCTGTTCCCGCCCTTACTGAGTGTTTATTTGAAAAACTTCTTGTTCCGTTAATGTTCTCTTGAAAAATAAAAGCAGCCTTGTCTGGAATGAAAAGAATTGAATTCTTATGGTTTTCTTCTCAGAAATTTCTACAGTAGTTGTGGGGGAAATGTTTTCCTATTAATAAGGTTTATCTTTTTTTTTCTTTCAGTATTCTGATAATAGCTTATGACGCCATATCCCACTTCAAATTTTTAGCACTTGTTCAAAGCTCATGTCTAAACTTTTATCAGATTACACTTTTCTCTGTTAGATTAACCACTTCCCAGGCCCACACCACCTAACCTCTAGATGTCCATGGTAAAGTAATGAATCTCAAACTATCCATAATGAAGGAACAAGTTTCCAAATTCACACTCTCAATTCTTGTACTCATCTCACAGACTGAAAACAAGCAGCTGGCAGATTGGCCACTTTGTTTACAGCTCTGCAGACTGTACAGAAAGCATGGTGCAGGCATCTGCTTCTGGAGGGGCCTCATGGCAGAAGGCAAAGCAGAAGCAGATGTGTCACATGACAAAGACAGGTGCAGGCAGGGCAGGGCATATACTTTTCAATGACCAGATCTCCCAAGAAGTCACTCACTATCTTGACCACAGTACCAAGAGGATACTACTAAACCAGTTATGAGAAATCTGCTCCCAAGATCCAATCACCTCTCACCAGGCCCCACCTCCAATACTGGGACTACAGTTCAACTTGAGATTTGGGTGGGGACAGCATCCAAACTATATCACTATCTTTAACACTCTCCCTTGCCATTCCAGATATCTTCCTAAAATACTTCCGCTTCCTACAATGAAATCCCTGCTCACCATGCCAGGACCTAAGACGCTGCAAAATCTGGCCACACTCTACCTGTGTCCTAGCCACACATCTTAGCCTTCTCTATCATTCTTTCTCTTTCCTGAAAAGCAATTCCTGAGTACCCAACCAGAAAGAACCTTTGTCTCTCACACCTGGCTGCATTGATTTCTAGATTTCCTGATTGCCAATAACATATTGAAATACAAACTGCTCTCTAATTGTCTTCTTTTTTAAATGGATGGCTTATTTTAATTAATGAGTAACTTGTGGATTTGGTGGGCAAAAACCATGGAATGTTCCCAGTCAAGGGAAGGGTGACACAGGGAGCAGGCCACCATGTCTACAAGGGCTGAGGTGGAGGTGGCATAAAGAGAGACAGGAATTCTTAACCTTGGGTCTTTAGAGAGATTGTTTGGGAGTGTATCCCTGATCTGAAGAGGTATGTGTGTGTGTGTTTGTGTGTCTGTGTGTGTGTGTGTGTGAGCACACATGCAGAGGAGAGTATTTACAGAGGGGAGTACTACAACTTCTGAATAATCTATTTTTAATTGAGTTTTTATTGAGATAATTATAGATTCACATCTAGTTGTAAGCAATAATACATGCAGCTCCCATATATCCTTTATGCAGTTTCCACCACTGGTAGCATCTTGCAGTGCTATAGTCCAATAACACAAGCAGGTTATTGACATTGAATCAATCCACCTGTCTTATTCAAGTTTCCCCAGTTTTTTGTGTACTCATGTTGATGCACATGTGTGTTTAGTTCTATTCAAGTTTATCAAATGTGAAGGCTCTTGTACTAACCATCAGAGTCACAACACACAACAGCTCCATCACCAAAAATACCTGTCCTGTCTCCCATTTATAACCATACTCACTCCATTCCTCCAGCCCTGTCCTGATCCTAACCATTGGCAACAGCTCATCTCTCCTCCATTTCTAAATTTTTGTCTTTTCAAAAGTATTACATAAATGGAAGCCTATAGTATGTAACTTTTGGAGATTGGCTTTAAAAAAAAAAACCTCAACATTACTCTCTGGAGATTCATCTTAGTGGCTACATGTACCACTAGTTAGTTCCTTTTTATTGCTAAGTAAGTATCCCATGGTATAGATGTATCAATTTGTTTAACCATTCACCTGTTGAAGGGTATCTGAGCTGATTCCAGTTTTAGGCTATGACAAATAAAGCTTTTATGAACATTCACATACAGGTTTGTATGTGAACAGAAGTTTTTATTTCTCCAAAATAAATGCCCAAGACTTCAATTGCTGGGTCATATGGTAGTTGCACATTTTACATAATCCTTAAAACTCACTATTTAAAATTGCTTCCCAACTCCACACTTCTGTATTATGACATAAAGTTTGGTTGCTGGAGGAGCTATGACTCTGATAATAATCCCTGAATTCAACCTTTTTACTTTTAAAAGTTTTTTTGCCTCCTTCAAAATAATCTTAAGACATATGTATCATATTATACTTTCAGCAAAAATATAAGCTTAGTGGAATTTTATAGGAAATTGAGACACAGAGAAATTAACAACTTGGGTCATACAGAGAATTAATGTCATGGTCTGAAACAAATCCCAAGACCCTTAGAGTGTTAAAGCTATATTTGGTGACACATTAATGGGTCATGAAATCAACTATGTCAGCCACAACCAGAATGTTTCTACAAAGATATAGACCAAACTAGAATCCAAAATATCACTGGGCATTGCAAATAGCAAGAATATGTATTATATAATTTTTGTTGCATTTTTATGTATATGTGTGCGTATCCAATTACCTAAAATTGGATGATGGTTAGAAGTGCTGGAAAACTCTGTTCTTACAGCTTAGCTCTTTTCATTGAAATTCCCAGATAATTATCTTGTAATTTCCCTGTGCCTAAAAAAGTCTTATAGTAGTCAAACTAGAATAGAGGTACAATTTGTAATTCTTAATTAATATCAGAATAAATGTGAGTTAGAAAGAGATCTTCTCGCCGGTGGGGCCGGCTGGGACTCGCCGCTCGCACGCCCTTGGGCAGCGGCGGGGCGCCTGCTCTTCCTTCCGCTTGCGCTGTGAGCTGAGGCGGTGTATGTGCGGCAATAACATGTCAACCCCGCTGCCCACCATCGTGCCCGCCCCCCGGAAGGCCACCACTGAGGTGATTTTCCTGCATGGATTGGGAGATACTGGGCACGGATGGGCAGAAGCCTTTGCCGGTATCATAAGTTCACATATCAAATATATCTGCCCGCATGCGCCTGTTAGGCCTGTTAACATTAAATATGAACATAGCTATGCCTTCATGGTTTGATATTATTGGGCTTTCACCAGATTCACAGGAGGATGAATCTGGGATTAAACAGGCAGCACAAAATATAAAAGCTTTGATTGATCAAGAAGTGAAGAATGGCATTCCTTCTAACAGAATTATTTTGGGAGGGTTTTCTCAGGGAGGAGCTTTATCTTTATATACTGCCCTTACCACGCACCAGAAACTGGCAGGTGTCACTGCACTCAATTGCTGGCTTCCACTTTGGGCTTCCTTTCCACAGGGTCCTATCGGTGGTGCTAATAGAGATATTTCTATTCTCCAGTGCCACGGGGATTGTGACCCTTTGGTTCCCCTGATGTTTGGTTCTCTTACGGTTGAAAAACTAAAAAACATTGGTGAATCCAGCCAATGTGACCTTTAAAACCTATGAAGGTATGATGCACAGTTCGTGTCAACAGGAAATGATGAATGTCAAGCAATTCATTGATAAACTCCTACCTCCAATTGATTGACGTCACTAAGAGGCCTTGTGTAGAAGTACACCAGCATCATTGTAGTAGAGTATAAACCTTTTCCCATGCCCAGTCTTCAAATTTCTAATGTTTTGCAGTGTTAAAATGTTTTGCAAATACATGCCAATAACACAGATCAAATAATGTCTCCTCATGAGAAATTTATGATCTTTTAAGTTTCTATACATGTATTCTTATAAGACGACCCAGGATCTACTATATTAGAATAGATGAAGCAGGTAGCTTCTTTTTTGTCAAATGTAATTCAGCAAAATAATACAGTACTGCCACCAGATTTTTTACCACATCATTTGAAAATTAGCAGTATGCTTAATGAAAATTTGTTCAGGTATAAATGAGCAGTTAAGATATAAACAATTTATGCATGTTGTGACTTAGTCTATGGATTTATTCCAAAATTGCTTAGTCACTATGCAGTGTCTGTATTTTTATATATGCGTTCATATATACATAATGATTATAATACATAATAAGAATGAGGTGGTATTACATTATTCCTAATAATAGGGATAATGCTGTTTATTGTCAAGAAAAAGTAAAATCGTTCTCTTCATTTAATGGCCCTTTTATTTTGGGACCAGGCTTTTATTTTCCCTGATATTATTTCTATTTAATACTCTTTTCTCTCAAGAAAAAAAAAAGTATGTTTTTTCTTTTTTGTCCTTCATAGCAGACCAAGTATTGCCTCTCTGCCATAGACAGCTACTGTCAATACATGCTGTAATTTGACATTCTGGGTCACAGATATAAGGTATTTAAAATCTATTTATGCTTTATAGAGAAACCAGACATTAAAACTTCATGCACTACTTATTTCGAATTACTGTACCTTATCCAAATTTACACCTAGCTATTAGGTTCTTCAACCCAGGTAACAGGAATAATTCTGTGGTTTTATTTTTCTGTAAACAGCTGAAAGAATAATTAGATCATATTCTAGTATGTTCTGAAATATCTTTAAGACTGATCTTAAAAACTAACTTCTAAGATGATTTCACTTTCCCATAGCATAGAGTTTACTTTGTATACATGTTTGAAACCAACTACTGTAGAAGATGAGGAATTTATTGTAATTTTTTGCTTTACTTTCATCTGCCAGTGGACTTATTTGAAATTTTCATTTTAGTCAAATTATTTTTTGTATTAGTTTTTCATGCAAACATAAAAATAGCAATCATTTTAAATTGTCAAAATTTCCAGATTACTGGTAAAAATTATTTGAAAACAAACTTATGGGTAATAAAGGCTAGTCAGAACCCTACACATAAAATGTAGTTACCATACAGATTAATATGTAGCAAAAATGTATGCTTGATATTTCTGAACTGTGTTAATTTTTCTGCTGTATTCCAGCTGACCAAAACAATATTAAGAATGCATCTTTATAAATGGGTGCTAATTGATAATGGAAATAATTTAGTAATGGACCTTATAGGATGTTAATAATGAAGCCATATGTTTATGTCTGGATTTAAAAATTTTAAACAACCATTTACTATGTCATTTTTCTTTACCTTGGAGAACATAAACTGTTATTTCACTTCTACAAATCAGCAAGATATTATTTATGGCAAGAAATATTCCGTTGAAATATTGTGCTGTAACATGGGAAAATGTAAATGTTTTTCATGGTTTCTATCAATGTGAAATAAAATTTAATTCTGAAAAAAAAGAGATCTTCTCTTATCAGAAACTTATTAAAATGCTATTTGTTGCTTTATGGAACTTTACTTTCTTCATCACTTAAAACAGACTTCTTACACAGATCCTTCCAGATTATAGAAAAAAGGGAATACTAGCCAATCATTTGATAAAATTAGCTTAACTTTGATAACTGATATAATTTGGCTGTGTCCACACCCAAATCTCATCTTGAATTGTAGCTCCCATAATCCCTACGGTCAGAGGTAATTAAATGATGGGGGTGGTTTTTTCCTGTGTTGTTCTCATGATAGTGAATAAGTCTCATGACATCTGATGGTTTATAAAGGGCAGATTCCCTGCACACGCTCTCTTGCCTGCCACCATATAAGACGTACCTTTGCTCCTCCTTCACCTTCTGCCATGATTTTGAGGCCTCTCTAGCCGTGTGGGACTGTGAGTCCATTAAACCTCTTTTTCTTTATAAATTACCCAGTCTCAAGTATTTCTTCAGAGCAGTATGAAATGGACTAATACAATAACAAAACATTACAAGGGCAGTACAAGCAGTTAGATGCTAGAGGACTTCCCCAAGTTTACACATTTAGAAAGTGTTAGGGCCAACACCCAACTCCAAACTTTCTGACACCCAATAATATGGTTTTCCTGAAACTGTACTCTGACTCTTTGTGGGGTATTTTCAAAGCAGCATATTATGGTTAAGTTGATTTTGTTATAAACAGACTGGATATGCCAGCACTTTCACATAAGGGTTATTTAACCGACAACCAAGAAGATTACGGAAGCCAGACTGACTGTCTACAAATACTGGGCAGGGCTATCAGGTGGGAAAGGGATAACATTGTTTCTGCCTTACAGCAAAGGCAGAATTAAGGTCTAAGTTTGGCAGTTAGAAGTAGGGAAACTGGTTCACCAGAAAAAAAGACATTTCTAAGTAAGCTGCCCAGGAATGAAAGAACTGCCTAACACAGTCTTAGACTAATCAAATGAAGTATTCATTAACTTATGAGAAAACCATGTATTCTGGCTGCTGGAGACAAATTCTTTCATTGGACCAAATGTTCTTTAAGGTCTTTTCCAAATCCAAGTTCCTAGGAATCAACTGATAAATGACTTTTCCCCATTAGTCATTTATCTCTGCACATTCTGCCCACATACCACATTTTCTTGCAATCTGTTTAGAGTTGAAGAAATTATTTCTAATTGAAACCTTTACTACCATGATTTTATTTCAAGTAGACATAATTTATCAAACACTGAGCTTAAGAAATATGCATTTTTTTCCTCATAGCATTTTGAGTTGGGTCATAAACTAATTAATTCATATTGTGGAATAGATTAGAATGGAATGGAATGGAATGTGAAATTCAGTATTATCAATATAAAATAGAGCCTGCTTGCTCATAATCCTCAAGAAGTATGTAGGGACAGGTTGGAATCAATTGAAAATTGCAATAGAGAGAGGAAAGGTGATTTGCCCATTCATGGGGCCAATAAGTGATTACATAGCTAATATATGGTTATACAACTAACGAGTTCTGGACCTGTTAATGTTCTTTGGTGACTCCTTGAATAAATATTAAACTTTCCACAAGAGACTACACACAAACCGAAACTACTGACTTCTAGTGAGGGCATTTTCAAGAGGTTCTAGTCCAAATGAAAGTTATTTATTATTTATCTAATAAAACTCGCTTCTACTTTGCCTACTAATATGCTATTGAAATGTTAAAAAAAAATAGAAGATGCTCTCTTCTTTTCAGAGTGTTTCTTTTGGAAAAAAAGGAGGTTGCTTTATAGAGAGACACTTCTATTCTGAAAGCAAAGCATTCTAAACCATATGATTTTACCCCATGGACTTAAATTTTAAATTTCTCTACATAGCATATTGAAGCCTGTGCCAAGTGCTGTCTGGAAAAATTGAGTATAATTAAGACAATCAAGTGATTCAGTCCCTACCTTTTTACATTGTACTGTCAACTAGGAACAACATGTATGTTTCTTCTTCTTCCATGTACTTTTCATTTTATCCTGTTGTATTTGACATCAAATGTCTGTCTGCTGCACCAGAGAAAAGAGTGGATGTTGGCTTTGATGTATAACAGGTGTCATTCATAACAGTAACAATAGGGGATTTGGTTAGATTTTCATTTGTAAAATTCTAGAGACTTGATTTGAAAAGATATAGGAAGGAGCGATGAGGGGAGTTGGTAATGTGAGAGTGAAAGCGATTACTGTGCTTGAAGGAAATATGTAATAGAGAAGGTTGACCAGGTTAGGAGGAGAACTATATTTTCCTCCCTAGGGCTTCTTGTCTCTGTAACTTGCTGAATGACCCCTTTGACATTTAAAAATGTTCACACGTCAAGAGGAAGATGACAGGTAGGGAAGCCAACCTGAAAATCAGCCTTTGCCTCTGCTGCTTGAGCTTGTTTTCCTAGTAAATTACCTCTGCTGCCGATGGCATCGCAGATCTGGGCATCTTCACATTCTTCCTAATACTAGAGAGCATGCTAAAGAATTTTTAGAAATTGTTCTTTGTAGCTTCAGACTGCAAGAGATGTAAGAAGTCCCACATGTTGCCGGCAGCCCTAAGAAGTTATTTAGACAGATTCCAATTGACATAATTTATGAAAAACTGAACTTAAAGGATTAGTACCGAGGGGACTGGCAGAAGCCTTTTGCTCTTAGATTTGCAGCAATTGTTTACACTAGAACTATAAGGAGGAGAGCCAGTTCTGTGTGTTTGGGTAGAGCGGTACCTTAGCTTCTTGGCCCTTTTCTCCCCCTAGACAAAGTTAGAGCAGCAATTTTTATGTCTTATTCCTTAGAGAGAGGAATTTTGGTGATTAAAGAGGAAGCAAAAGATGCTAAAAGTTCCAATTTAATTTGATTTAATTTCTTTTGAGACAGAAACTCGCTTTGTCACCCAAGCTGCAGTGCAGTGTCATGATCTCGGCTCACTGCATCCTCAACCTCCCAGGCTCAAGTAATCCTCAGCCTCCTGAGTAGCTGAGACTATAGGCATGTACCACCATGCCCGGCTAATTTTTGTATTTTTTATAGGAAGGTTTCATCATGTTTCTCAGGCTGGTCTCAAACTCCTGGCCTCAAGTGATCTGCCTGCCTTGGCCTCTCAAATTGCTGTGATTACAAGTGTGAGCCACCACACTTGGCCTGATCTAATTTAAAGATATTTTTGGAACAAACAAGATGACTGATCAAAAGCAGGTGTGGTCTGCAGCACTCACAGAGGGGAATGAAAAGGGATGAGTGAATTCAGCACCTTCAACTGAAATATCCAGGTTCTCACATTGAGACTGACTAGGCAAACAACTTGACCCACATGGAACTGAGGAAAGCAGGAGCGGGGTTGGTGGACATTGGCCCACCTGGGAGCCACATGGAGCCAAATGAACCCCCCACCCCCAGCCAAGGGAAGCGGTGAGTGATTGTGTGACCTGCCTGGGAAACTTTGCAACCCACGGATCTGGAGATCCTGTCGTGAGCCCATATCACCAGGGCCTTGGGTCCGATACACAGACTTGTGTGGAGTCGCCGCAGAGCAGCCACTCAGTCACACATAGAGACCCAGGAGTTTTACATACTCCGGCCCCAAGAGTATGTAAAGCCCTGCACATCCTGCACATATACCCCTGAACTTAAAATAGAAGTTGAAGAAAATAAAATAAAATAAAATAAAATATTTTTGACCATTTTTGTAGTCTGTTTTTATTTTATTCTTTTACCTATTTACTATATGCTTTAAATTGTCATTTTTTTGACAATTATAGATTCACATGCAGTTGTAAGAAATAATACAAGATACTATACAATGATAATATCTTGCCAAACTATAGGACAATATTATACCCAGGATATTGACATTGATACAGTTAATATATAGAACATTTCCATCATCACAAGGGTCCCTCATGTTACCTTTTTATAGCCACATCCAGTTCCCTCCCACGTCATCCTGGCTTTGACTCCTGGAAATCAATAATTTTGTCACTTTCAGCAATGTTACATAAATGGAATCATGTATTCTATAACAAGTGAGATTGACTTTTTCACTTCATAATTTGCTGGAAATTCATCCAGGTTGCTGTGTGTATCCATAGTTCATTCCTTTTCACTGCTAAGGAGTATTGCACAGTATTGCACAGTTTGTTTAACCATTCACCTGTTGCTGAATATCTGGACTGATTCCAGGTTTGGTTATCACAAACAAATATGCTAATAACATATATGTACAGGTTTTTGTATAAACATAAGGTTTCTCTTTTTTTATTTGTCAGTTCTGCTACGGATTTGTCAACTTTATTGATCTTTTCAAGGAACAAGCTCATTGATTTATTTACATTTTCTAATGCTTTTCTGTTTTACTTCAGTGATTCCTGCTCTTATCTTTATTACCTTCTTCCTTCTGCTTGCCTTGGGTTTATTTGCTTTCTGTTTTTCTAGGTTTTTGAGGTGGGACCTTACGTGATTAACTTGGCACTTTTTTTCTTTTCCATTCTATGCATTCAGAGCTATTAATTTCCCTTTCTTCACTGTTTTAGTCATGTTCCACAAATTTTGAAATATTTTATTTTTATTTTCATTCAGTCAATGTATATTTTTTTAAAAATTCCTTGAGGCACCCTCTCTGACATACAGCCTATTTAAAAATGTATTGTTGGGTTTCCAAGTGTTTGGAGATTTTGTTTTTTTGGTTATTAATTTCTAGGTTGATTATGTTGTGGTTGGAGAACACACTGTATAAGTTTAAATATTATTATTTTAAATTTGTTGAGGTATTTTTATGACCCAGATATTGTCTACTTTATATATGTTCTACGGAAACTTGAAAGTAATATGTATTCAGTTGTTGGTGGGTGGAGTATTCTATAAATATCAATTAGGGTGTTGGATGATAATGTTGAGTTCTTTTACGTTCTTGCTGATTTCTATCTAGCTGTCTCAAGTGTTGAGAGCAGTGTTGGAGTCTTCTACTATAATTGACGATTGTGTATTTCTCCTTTAGTTCTATCAGTTTTTGCTTCACATTTTTTTTAGCTCTTTTGTTTGGCATATGCACATTTAAGATTTTTATGTCTTTTGGTGGATTTAAATTTGCTTTGCTAATCTCTATTCTAATTTATGTATTTAGGCCATTTATATTTCCTATCATTTTTCATATATTAGGACTTAAGTTTGTCATCTTATTTTTTGTTTTCTATTTGTTTTCTCTGCTTTTAACTTTTCTGCTTTCTTTTTTACACCTTCCTATGGGATATTTGAACATTAGTTATAATTCCATTTTGATGTTTCTGTAGAGCTTTTGAGTATACCTTTTTATATAACTTTTTAGTGGTTGCTCTAAGTATTACATTTTATATACAGAATTGTCACTGTCTACTGGTGTCATAAAATTACCAGTTCAAGTGAAATATAGAAAATCACCTCCTTTTATGTCCTTTTACCCCACTCTATTTATAATTGTTTTAAATGTTTTCTATATATACATTTAGAATGGCACCATATAATATTATTTTTTGTGAAATACAACTTTTAAAAAAACTTAGGAGAAAGAAAGTTAGTAGTATTTATCCATATTTTTGCCAACTGTGTTCTTTCTTCCTGTTTGATATTTCAAGTTTCCTTCTTTTATTGTCTTCTTTCTGTTTAGTGAATTTTTTTTTTTTAATTTTTTTTGAGATGGTGTCTCGCTCTGTCACCCAGGCTGGAGTGCAGTGGTGCGGTCTTGGCTCCCTGCAACCTCTGCCTCCCAGGTTCAAGAGATTCTCCTACTTCAGCCTCCCAAGTAGCTGGGACTACAGGCACATGCTACCACACCTGGCTAATTTTTGTATTTTTAGTAGAGACGGGGTTTTGCCATGTTGGCCAGGCTGGTCTCGAACTCCTGACCTCAGGTGATCCACCCACCTCGGCCTCCCAAAGTGCTGGGATTACAGGCATGAGCCACCATGCCCAGCCACAGTGAATTTTAATTAGCTTTTCATATGGGGTAGGTCTGCTGGTGACAGATTTTCTTAGTTTTTCTTCATTTCCTTCATTTGAGAATGTCTTGATTTTCTCTCCATTACTGAAGCATATTTTTGCTAGTTAGGATTCTCAGTTGACACTTCCTTTCAGCAGTTGAAAAAACATTCTGCTACTTTTTCCTCTGGCTTCTGTGATTTCTCATAAGAAATCTGCTGTCATTCTACTTGTTTCTCCCATATAAGTAAGATGTGATTTTCCCCTTCTAATACCACTCCAGTAGGGAAAGGGAGGGATGTTTCTATGTTAATAACATGTGGAAATAAAAGTTCAGGTTTCCCACTCAGTTTCCTTTGACACCAATAGTGAAGCTTCTCATTACTGCTAGGAGTGAGTGGTAGTTCTGGCTTCCCACGTGATCTCCGCTAACACCATAGTGGCTGTGGCCCCATCACCACTGTGATGGTGAAAAAATTCTCCACTAGGCCTATTCTGACACCCTATCAGTGGGGATTCAGAATGGTATCTTGCTACTACTGGGTGTGGACAGAAGTCTAGGATGATATGTGGTTTCCACTAGCACCATGGGTAAGGAAATTGTTATTGACTAATGGGGATAAAAGCCTGTTTCCCTACTTAGTCTTCTCTAACATCACTCTGGAGGGAGTATTTGGGGGCCTCATAACAACACTGGAAGGTAGAAGTCTAGGCCCTACTTGTCCTTTGTTGGTGTGGTTGGGTATGGGGCCACACTGTTTTCCTGTGGTGTTTGACAGGGATAGAGTAGTTATCATCTAGAAGTTTTCTGTCTTGATAGGCTGCTCCTTTGCTGGACTATTGGCTACAGAAAGCAGACTTTTGTTGGAACTTTTTTCTTATCTGTACCCACTGGTGTTTCTGGGTTGTTGGATTCGTTAGCTCAAAGCCTGGAATATATGAAGCAAAAAAAAAAAAACACATGGGGCTTATTGTTTCTTGGGTCCCGTGATTTTTAGCTGGTTTGCTTCCTTTTCTCTACCTTTTATAGGCTTCTTATGTTTGTTGTATAATGGCTTGGGGTTTTAGTTGTACTTAGTGAAAATAGTAAGGAAAAGTATGTCCTACTTTGTCTTCCTGGAAGTGGAAGTCCATTCTTTTATGTTTTCTAAAAAAATGTTGCTTACATAATTATTTTATAATATTTTTCTTATAATTGTTGTATATGAAATTCTTGGCGACCGAAATCTTTTTTTTTTCCTTGCTGCCTTTCATTCATGCTTATTTGTTTCCTTATGTTCAGTGATTCTGATTTGAGCCCACAACTGGTCTATCCAAACCTGCGGTGATTCTAAGACTTATGTTGAGGATATTTTTCTTTTTCGGAAATTTACTTTTGCTTCTGCTAGATGCCAGAATGTGCTACCATTTAGCATCTTCACTGGGTCTGTAATTTAATTCAATTTAATTCAGCCTCAGGTTCAGCTTGTCCTTATTGCCTCTGTGTCAAGGCTTATTCTCTTGAGTGTTGTGCCGATATCAGCCTCTTTCTTTAGGGCATCCCTGCCTTCCTTTCTCCTAGGAGTGTGTGTGTGTGCGCGCGCATGTGTGTGCATGTATTTGTGCGCATGCACTCGCATGTACATATGGCCCAGTGCTCAGGTTTTAGCTCATGGTATTTTTTAGAAGTGGAGGACTCCCTTGAAGACTGTTCTTACTTTCTTTGAGCCTAGACATTTAATAAAATTATTTTCTAGTTCTTTGTAGAAAGAGAGTTGTGCTGCCAGAAGCTGAGACTATTTCTTTTTATTCCCTATTTTCAAACATTAAAACAAAAAAAAACATGAAAACTCACTCAGAAGAACTCTGGAAAGTCCATTGAGAACATTTCATAACATTAGACCTGCTTTTCCCAAACTATACTCTGTGGAAATGTAATATGCTGTGATATAGATAGTAGTAGGATTTTCCTCAAAGAAATGTTCCATGGTAAAAAAGAAATTGGGGAAATCATACATAATATATCTGCTGCCCTTAAAAATACATAGTGCCTATTATCATGTAAAGGTTCTGAGAATTTTTACAGTAAATAAAGTTTTAAAATAGTGATTAACTGCATTTCCCAAACTTATTTGCATGTGGAAGCCTAACCTTCCTTATTTATTTGTTTTCTTTATTTATAGAAGTATCTGTTCACATCTCACAGGATATTCAAGCTGTATGGAACAGTTTGGTTAATGCTGAATTAAAGTCTCTGTTAAAAAGCATTGCACTTGCAGTTCGAGGATATTGGTTCTAGTCCTGGCTTTGTCAAGCTGTGGGACACTGGGGTGGTGAAGAACCTGTTTAAATCCATTTCTTTCTTTATTAAGAGGTTGAAAGAAATTATTTCTATGGCATTTTCCAGCTCCACTGTGCTCTTCTCTTAATCAATAGAATCACCAATGCCTCCTCTTGTAGTAGAAGGATGAGAGCCTTGGAATAGTATCAGAAATGTGTGCTGCTGCTTTTCCAGGCTTACAGTGCTCCTTCCCACCCCAGCATTCCCTTCTCATGCTTCCACTGCAGAGTACGTGCCTTTGCTGGAGTTTCCAGAGCCACCACTCATTTGTACCCAGGTTACATATTTCTCGTTAGAGCTAGTTTCTGTTTTTCCAATCACTATCACAACCAGCTAGGCCAATAATGTAACTTCAAGGAGAGGAACCCATCAATGATTGTGCCTTCCCAGCCTGTGTTAATTAAGATGAACAGACTGACCTTGAATGACAGTTATTAGTTTAGTTGCTGTTCTATTTCCCCAGATTTATTGGCTCAAAGTGAAAAGAGCACTGAATCTTGAGACTGTGTTTGAGGACCAGTTCCATGATCTTGGGCCACGATTTTAGCCTAGCTGAGACTTTCTCTCAGTCTAGCAAGACTTTCTCTTTGCTAAAATGGCAGCAATGCTAATTGTTTTGCCTACATTAAAGGGCTCTTGTGTGGATCCAGGGTGATAAATAGGATACTGCTCTGTGTACTACAAAAGTTTAACAAATGGAATGCGTTTGCTAAATAATGCATTAAAATATTAAATAATAATAAATATACTGAGTTTTATGGTTGAGGTTACTTCTAGTTTATAGAACAGTAGGCTGAAACAATAACTACAGAGGCACACACTGAGGCTATTTATGAAATAAAAACATTTCAGGAGACAACAAAATTTAAATATTTGATCCCAGAAATTATCCCTGCCTTCCCTCTCCTGTTGTCTTTTTATGTAAGGAGAAAAAAAACAGAATCTAATTTGAAAAAAGAGTCATGGGCCTTTCTAGGTAAATAAAGATTAAAGAAAACATGGGGCCAATTTAGGTTAAGACAAACCTGTATGTCCAAGTTTATTTTCAGTCAAAAATCCCCTTAGTCTTATTCAACTCAGAAAAATGAAAATTGATGGCCTAAAAGTGAAAATTTGTATATCTTCCTACTTAGTCTCATAAGTCATTCAGTTTTAATTCCTTTTTGAATTCATATAATCCTTTGCCAATGAATTAATGAATAGTATTCTTCTGAATGTATTCCTTTGAGAATGGATTTTTGTGTGTGTGTATAACTTATTAAATCCTTGTTAATATCTATGATTTCACCATATTAATGACAGTTTCCAACTTATGCCCTTGAAATGTGGAGGAAAAGTTACAATATTATTACCTCAATATTCAATAACCTTTTCTGTAAATCGCCACACTACAGCATTCTTCCTCATGAAAATAATGAGTGATATGATCCACTCCATCAGGCTGTTAGGAAATCGGCTTGATAGGCAAAGTCACCTTTGAAATTCTCATAATTGTCACTGCACTCTGACAGTCCCTACATTTTAAGAAATGGGACTAAAATAAAATAAAGAGAAACTACCCTGAAAGGACTAGGTGACAGCCTGGAGCATTTCACATTGCTGTGGTATGGAATGATAGTTGAAAGTCTCTGATTAATGCGGCTGCCTGATAAAAGCTGGAGGAGACTGCGCCTGTTTGCTGGCAGCTCAGCATTGCTGTAGGGCAGAGTATAAAACATCAGGATGAGGATGGGCATTTCCTTTCCCCATCCCATGACCCATTTCCATCCTGGGCTCTCAGGTATTTTTGCCTTAATATTTCAGATTCTTTGAGAATAGTACTTAAGTACCAAATATTTGATCTGGAAGAGTCATGCTAAAAAATAGCTAAGAAACATCTCACCTCTGCCTAAAATATCCATTCCCTCACTTTGTCTGCCTAATTCTCACTTAACCTTCTGGATCTTGGCTTAGATCTATTCACCTGCACTGAAAAGCATTTCTATTTCTAAGTCCTGTGGCTTGAGTCAGGTGTCCCCTTTTCTGTGCTCCTAAGGCACCCTGTCACTCTGCATAGCGCTGATACAAGCTACTGAAAAGTTCCCTGTTTACTTGATCCCCCCACCCCTACACAAGCACACCCGCACTTCCTATAGAACATGCTGCAATGATGAAAATGTTCTAATCTGTGCTGTCTAGTACGGCAGCCGCTAGTCACATGTGGCTATTAAGCATCCAAAATATGGCTAGTATGACCAAAAACTAAATTTTAAGTTTTATTTAATTTTAATTATATTCAATTAAATTGTTTTAGTTTAGTTTATCATAATTTATATCTTAAGTGTAAATTATAAATATTTAATTTAAATTATTTATTAAAATTCCTTAAATTTAAATTAAAGTAACTACATGGTGGTTTGGGGCTACCATATTGGACAGCACAGAAATAGACTGTAAACTTCTTGAGAGCTGGGATTACATCTTACTTACCTTCATAGTTCCAGCACCATAGGACAGGATCTACCACTTTCTACACACTCAAGAAATACTTGTTGACAGCTGAAAGAATGCTAGTGTCCTACCCTTATTTCACATTCATTACATTGTGTTTGATGCTTGAGACTCAGAAGCCTAATATCTAGAGTTTTAATTTTAGCTCCATCACTTAGCATTTATGTCAAGAATGACTTAGCCTCTCTGTGCTTCAGTTTCCTTGGCTTTAAAATGGATTATTAATAGTACCTACCTCATAGGGTTGTAAAGAACATTAAATGAAATAATACATTGATCATGAATCCATTAATGTCATAAATATGTTTATTAGCATTGAGTGGAATGGTTGGCAGATAGTAAGTTCTACTATATGCTAGTGATATAGTTTGGAAATTTGTTCCCTTCCCAATGTCACGTTGAAACGTGGTCCCCAGTGTTGGGGCAGGAGCCTAATGGGAGTTGTTTTGGTCATGCGGGCGGATCCCTCATGAACGGGTTGGTGCCTTCCCCATGGTAATGAATGAGAGTTCTCACTCTATTTGTTCATGTGAGAGCTGGTTGTTTAAAGAGCCTGGCACCTCCTCCTCTCTCACCATGGGACACATTTGTTCCCCTTTTGCCTTCTTCCATGAGTAAACGCTTCCTGAAGCCTCATCCGAAGCCCAGCAGATGCTGGTGCCATGCTTGCACAGCCTGCATAACCATGAGCCAAATAAACTTCTTTTCTTCATAAATTATCCAATCTCAGGTATTCCTTTACAGCAACACAAAATAGACTAACATCTAGTTATTATTATATTGATTTTTTGTTGTTGTCTGTTATTGAGAGGATGAGTGAGAGAGAGAAAGAGAAGGAAGAAAATGGGAGAAAAAGCATCACTCAGAAATTGTTGAATTGTGTGCAAGAACACTTAAACTAAATACTTTAGGGATCTTTATGCATACATTATTTTATTTGAGGTTTGAACCATCAAAAAGATTGCTACTCTGATGTGTCCCATATGGAATGGACTACAGTGCTTGGTTGAGACAGCACAATAAACAATGGCGGTGAAATAGAATAATTTCAGAATACAGATGGAGTGACTATTTTTAAGACAAAAACTTTCCCATCATTTATAACATAAGTTAAATTTAATGTAATGGTAGCAAAATGTATCTTATAAAGAATGTCAGTGAGAATGCTGACAGGAATGACTTTATCCGAGAGCAGCCTTCCAGGGCTGTCACTCTGAACCGGCATGGTTGGCAACCAGGGTGTCTGTCCTCCCCACTGACTAAATAAATCACATTTTTTCCTTTCCTGATTTGACATCTTTTTCATTACATAACTGATGAGTGAAATTTTAAAATGTCTTAACCATGAAAGTGATTTCTTCTTTTACATTCTAATTATTATGTTGATTTATTGTTATGTTTATCTCCATTCAGGAAAGGGGAATCGGCTGTTGGTTTCTGATAACTCAGGCTATGCCCTCCCCATTTGGTGGGGAACTGTAGGGCATTATTATCTATATTTTAGGATAAGAGAACTAACGCTTAGAGAAATGCTATTTGCCCAAAGCCACATGGTTAGTAAATAATAGAATTGGAAGTAGCTCCTGGGTTTTGTGACTTCTAGTTCAATGTACTTTCCAGTGAATTTTGAATCTAGAAGATACTGGAAGAAATGAAAGAAAGGATAGAAGGAAGAATATCTACGAGCAGGCTTTACTTATTTCAGTGGAATTTAGCCTTTTGTTAATCACAATGAGAACAATGAGAATCTGATGTAAACCACTGATCCTCTCTCCCTGAAAAAATAGACACATTTTTTTTTCTGACAATTTCATGTAGTACTAGTCCTGGATTCACTGACGGATCCTTATTTAAAACTGGTTAGAGTAGAAAGATCTTAGTTTCATTTTAAGGAATTATAAATAATATCTCAAAATTACTGCATGCATAGTAATTGATGTTCTGAAATGTCTGTTGGAATAGGGCACATTCTTACAGAATGAGGATAAATTCTGAACAGGTTTTATAATCCTCTATTATCAAAAACAGAAATTATAGGTTGTGTAGCTTTTCTTACCTTCATATCTGATATGGGCAAAATTATAAGCTATGAAGTCGGGATGTATTTTTTTTTTTTTAGAAATAAGAAAACATTATAATATGTTCATCTCTACCAATAACCTTTAAGGTCAGATAATGTTACCAGTTATTATCAAAGTGTATATATATCAAAGGCATTTGCTTCATAGGAAGTAAAACAGTCTAAGTCCAAGAAGTAAAAATGGAAGATGTAATAGCTACTTGGTGCTTTCAAGTTTATACAATTGTCTAGAAAAAAGCAAGGCAAGGAAAGATTTGAGATGTTTTTAATAACACTTGTATTTTAAAAATTGAACTATGTTGCTAAAAGGAATAAAGAAATTGTGTTAGGTAACCAGAGATCTCTTTAAACATGGATATTAATGTTAAACATGCAATCTATTAATCACAAGTTGCTGGGGGATACAATATAAACCCTTAAAGTGACTTTATGAAAGTTTTATTTCTGGTTTAAGAACTCATTTTTACTTCTCATTGGGAAAACTGGAAACCACTTCTCAGAACAGTAACTTTAAGTTGTGTAAGTATAGAATGAAATACATATAGGAAAGTCAGAGTAAAGAAATGTGTCTTCAATATCTTTTCAGAAGATATGGTAACCCATGTATTTATTTCATATTCTCCAAAATACATAGGAAAGGGCTCCAGGACAATTTGGGCAAAATTCATCTTATCTGTCATTGGTGGTGCTTTCTATTCATTTTAAATATACTGTTAGGGCCTTAGGAAGAATTTCACTTTCATTAATAAAGTCAGGCTATCTTTCCTAGAGGGACAAGCTATTTTTATGCTGAGGGGGAAAGGAAACCATCATAAGTGCTCTCACACTGATGCATTCCTGTTGCAATGTACTGCAGCACCAATGTCATCCTTAGAAACAAAATCTATAACTAGAGCTGTCATTTAGCTCTAAAGAAGGCCATACTCTGGCAACCCCTGATCAAGATTCAGTTCTCTTTTTATAGCCTGATTTGATCTGAAGCAAACACCTCCAGAGTATACTCACAGAACAGATGGATTCACATGTGAAAATTGTCTGGTAGGGCTTTTATTGTGTGGTTTTATTCCTGCAAAAGAATAGGGGGAAACCATCTCTTGTTTCCTTAGTTTTTCTTAGAGCCTAATATAGTCAATGTAATTACCAGTTCAGTTAAACAGCTGTTTGTTGAGCACTTTTTAATATGACAGACCCTGTGCTTGGTACTGAGAATAAGATCGATAAGACCCAACATCTGCCCTGAGGAACCTCACAGATAAAGGGCAAGAGCTAATTCACAAAGAGATGGTTTTAATACAGTATTAGTCAATGCTTTGAGAGATGTTGCTACAGAGGATGGGGAATGCGGGAAGGCACCTAGCCCAGCCTGGAGAGATAGGAATGCTTAGTCATTCCAAGAAAGGAATGCAGTGGGGTGGGTGAGGGTGTTACAAGCATAATGGTTAGCATGAGCAAAGGCACAGGACTAGGAACAATATCACATGTTTGGGAGTTGCTGGAGTTAGAAGGAGATGTGGCCAGAGAGACAAGCAGGGTCCACATTGCCCATCCCAGGGAGGACCTTGTATCCTCCCCAGATATAGTAATATCCATGTCTTCATCTGTTTTATTCCATGTTTTTAGCTGTTTATAAGAAAGACACCTGTGGGCGAGTCTGAGACAGAGTTAGAGATTAGTTAACTCTACAAGTTATCAACATGTAGACACAAACTGTAAAATGAATGTGACCACTCAAGAAGGTCACATTGAAAGAAAGGGTCTGAAGCAAACCCTGGAGAACCATAACATTTAAGAGTCAGTGAAAAAGGATGAGAAGGAAAGATAAAAATCTAGGGGGACAACAGGACAGCACCATCCAGTGAGATTAAAAACAGAAATTGTATCTAATAATCGGAGATAATAGTGGGTTAGTTTAAGTTAAGTGGGTTAGTGGGAACAAAGGGCAAAATGCAACACATTGAGAAGTGAATGGCAGCAAGTGTAATCAACACTTAGAAGAGACTTGGATAAGCATGAATGGATAGTCTGTTTTAGGCAGGTTGCTTGTTTTCTCTGAAGGAAAATCCTGACTACATTCAAAGGCTGACTACATTTAAAGGTTTAAGTGGAAATAAAGTAGAGTGAGGGAATATTGCTGGAGCCAATTTTATGTGAAATCAGAAGAAAGTGGAATAAAGATTCTATTTTGATGAGTAGTCTTTCAACCAGAGAAGGAGCACATCTTCCTTTGTGAATGAATAGAGGGAAGCAGTGGATGTTAGGGCAACTTTAAAAACCATTTCAGTAGTGCTCGCTTTGGCAGCACATATACTAAAATTGGAACAATACAGAAAAGATTAGTATGGCCCCTGCACAAGAATGACAGCCAAACTCATGAAGCATTCCATTTTTTTTTTCCTAATTAAAAGGCACAGAGAGACAAGTTAGATAAAGAAGCAAAACCCAATGGATGCTGTCTTCAAGAGACCCATCTCGCATCCAGTGACATCCACAGGCTCAAAGTAAAGGGATGCAGAAAAATCTACCAAAGAAAGGAAAAACAGAAAAAAGCAAGGGTTGCTATTCTAATTTCAGACAAAACATACTTTAACCAACAAAGGATAAAAAAAGACAAAGAAGGGCATTACAAAATGGCAAAGGGTTCAATTCAACAAGAAAAACTAACTATCCTAAAAATATATGAACCCAACACAGGAGCACCCAGATTCATAAAGGAAGTTCTTAAAGACCCATGAGGAGACATAGATAACCACACAATAATAGTGGGAGACTTCAACATCTCACTGACAGTATTAGACACATCATCAGTAAAGAAAACTAACAAGGATATTCAGGACCTGAACTCGACACTTGATCAAATGGACCTAATAGACCTCTACAGAGCTCTCTACCACAAACCAACAGAATATACATTCTTTCTGTCTGCACATGGCATATACTCTAAAATTGACCACAATTGGTCATAAAATAATTCTCAGCAAATTCAAAAAACCGAATTCATACCAAACAATTCTTGGATCATGGCACAATAAAAATAGAAATAAATACTAAGAAAATCACTCAAAACCATACAATTACATGGAAATTAAACAACCTGCTCCTGAATGACTTTTGGGTAAACAAAGAAATTAAGGCAGAAATTGAGAAATTATTTGAAGCTGATGAGCACAAAGATACAACATACCAGAATCTCTGGGACACAGCTAAAGCAGTGTTAAGAGGGAAATTTATAGTGCTAAATGTCCACATCAAAAAGTTAGAAAGATCTTACATTAACAACCTAATATCACACCTAGAGGAACCAACCCCAAAGTTAGCAGAAGAAAAGAAATAACCAAAATCAGAGCTGAACTGAAGGAAACTGAGATGTGAAAAACCATACAAAAGATGATTAACAAATCTAGGAATTTGTTCTTTGGAAGAATAAATAAGAGTTCTAGTTAGACTAGTAAAGAAAAAAAGAGAGAAAATTCAAATAAACACAATCAGAAATGACAATGAGGATGTTACCACTGACCCCACAGAAATACAAAAAAAAGAAACCCTCAGAAACTACAATGAACACCTCCATGCACACAAATTAGAAAACCTAGAAGAAATGGACAATTTCCTGAAACATACAACCTCCCAAGATTGAATCAGAAAGAAATGGGATCCTTGAACAGACCAATAATGAGTTCTGAAATTGAGTCAGTAATAAAAAGCCTACCAACCAGAAAAAGCCCACCAACCAGAAAAAGCCCAGGACCATAAAGATTCACAGCCCAATTCTACCAGATGTATAAAGGAGAGCTGGTACCATTACTAATGAAACTATTCCAAAAAATTGAGGAGGAGGGACTCCTCCCTAACTCCTTTTATGAGAGCAGCATCATCCTGATATCAAAACCTGGCAGAGACACAACAAAGAAAACTTCAGGCCAATAATCTTGATGAACATAGATGCAAATATCCTCTACAAAGTAGTAGCAAATTGAATCTGGCAGCACATGAAACAGCTAATCCACCACAATCAATTAGGTTTTATCCCTGGGATGCAAGTTTGGTCCAACATATACAAATCAATAAATGTGATTCATCATATAAACAGAACAAAAAACAAAAACCACGTGATCATCTCAGTTGATGTTGAAAGACTTCATAAAATTAAACACCGCTTCATGTTAAAAACCCTCAACAAATTAGACATTGAAGGAACATACTTCAAAAATAAGAACCACCTATGACAACCCCACAGCCAATATTATACTAAATGAGCAAAAGCTGGAAACATACACCTTGAAAACTGGAACAAGATAAAGATGCCTTTTCTGTCCACTCCTATTCAACATAGTACTGGAAGTCCTAGCCAGAAGAATCAGGCAAGAGAAGGAAACAAAATGCAACCAAATAGGAAAACAGAAGGTCAGACTATCCCTGTTTGCAGATGATATGATTCTATACCTAGAAAACCCCATAGTCTCAGCCCAAAAGCTCCTTAATTTGATAAACAACTTCAGCAAAATTTCGGTATACAAAATTAATGTACAAAAATCAGTAGCATTCCTATACACCAACAACATCCAAACTGAGAGCCAGATCAAGAACATAATCTCATTTACAATAGCCACAAAAAGAATAAAATACTTAGGAATACAGCTAACCAGGGAGGTGAAAGATTTCTACAATGAGAATTGCGAGAAATCAGAGATGACACAAACAAATGGAAAACAATCCATGCTCTTGGAGAGAAAGAATCGATATGTTAAAATTCCCATACAGCCCAAAGCAATTACAGATTCAATGCTAATCCTACCAAACTACCAATGACCTTCTCCACAGAACTATAAAAAAAACTATTTTAAAATTCATATTGAATGAAAAAAGAGCCTGAATAACCAGTGCAATCTTAAGCAAAAAGAACAAAGCTTGAGGCATCACATTACCTGACTTCAAACGACAATACAAGACTACAGTAACCAAAACAGCATGGTAGTGATATAAAAACAGATACACAGACCAACGGAACAGAACAGAGAGCCCAGGATTAATGCCACACAACTACAACCCTCTGATCTCAACAAAGTAAACAAAAACAAGCAATAGGGGAAGGATTCCCTTTTCAATAAATGGTGCTGGGATAATTGGCTAGCCATATGCAGAAGATTGAAGCTGGACCTCTTCCTTACACTATATACAAGTCAACCCAAGATGGATTAAAGACTTAAATGTAAAGCCCAAAACTATTAAAACCCTGGAAGATAATCTAGGAAATACCATTCTGGACTTAAGACCTAGAAAATATTTCAAGACAAAGGCACCAAAAACAATTGCAACAAAACAAAAAAATTGACAAATGGTACCTAAGTAAACTAAAGAGCTTCCGCACAGCAAAAAGAAACCATCAGCAAAGTAAACAGGCAACACACAGAATGTGAGAAAATATTTGCAAACTATGTATCTGACAAATGTCTAATACTCAGCATCTGTAAGGAACTTAAAGAAATTCACAGGCAAAAAACAAACAACCCCATTAAAAAGTGGGCAAAGGATATGAACAGACCTTTCAAAAGCAGACATATATGCAGTCAACAAGCATATGAAAAAATGCTCAACATCACTGATCATTAGCGAAATGCAAATCAAAGTGAGATACAAGCTCACATCAGTCATAATGGCTATTAATGAAAAGTCATAAAATAACAGATGCTGGCAAGGTTGTGGAGAAAAGGGAATGCACATATACTGCTGGTGGGAGTGTAAATTAGTTCAGCCACTGTGAGAAGCAGTTTGGTGATTTCTCAAAGAACTCAAACTAGAATTACCATTGGACCCAGCAGTCCTATTACTGGCTATATGCCCAAAGGAATATAGATCATTCTGCCGTGAAGACACACGCAAGTGAATGTTCCCTGCAGCACTATTCATAATAGCAAAGACATTGAGTCAAGCTAAATGCCCATCAACAGTAGAGTGGATAAAGAAAATATGGTACATATATAGCATGGATTACTACACAACCGTAAAAAAGAATGAGATCATGAGAATGAGAATGAGATCAGGTCCTTTGCAGCAACATGGATGAACAAACACAGGAACAGAAAACCAAATAGCATGTTCTTACTTATAAGTAGGAGCTAAACACTGAGTATATGTGGACACAAAGAAGGGAACAACAGACACAAAGGCCTACTTGAGGGTAGGGGTTGGGAGGAGGATGAGGAGTGAAAAACTACCTATGGAGGAGTACTGTGCTTATTACCTGGGTGATGAAATAATCTGTATACCAAACCCCCATGACATGCAATGTACATATATAATAAACTATACATGTACCCATGAAGCTAAAAGTTTAAAAAGTGTTATTAGTAAAACAATAGGAATACAACAATAAAAATAGTACAAATTAAAAAATAAATAACTAAAATCTTTGCTGACGGCAACAATAAACATTTAAGTAATCTTTTCTTGAGCAGATAATAATGTTCCCATGGTTCAAATTTGGAAGGTATATATGGTTATACAGTGACAGCATTTTTTTTCATCTTTGCTTCTCATTCATCTGTTACTTTGTAAGGAAATAGTTTATTGAGCACTTACAATATGCAGGTATTGTTTTCCATGCTGGAAACATGTTCTCCATGCTGGAGATAACAGCAGTCAAAAAAAATAGAGGACATTTCTCCTGATGTGGGCCTTTTATTGTTGTGTGTGTGATGATAGAGAAACAGAGAAAGGAAGAGATTGATAAAATGAATTAAAGAAACAGATGAATAATATATACATATTAAAGCTATTAGAAGAAAAAGAAAGTAGGCAATAATTGTGGGCAGGTAGGCAGCTACTGTATTTATGTAGGTCAATCAAGGAGGGCTGTCTGAAAAGTGGGTTCTGCAGAGGCCTGAATGGAGTATGGGAGTGGGCTGTGAGGTTAACTGATGGGAAAGTGTCTCAGACAGAGGAGGCTATAAATAAAAAGCTCCTGAAGCAGGAACATGCTGGAGTGTTTGAGGAACATCAAGAGTCTGTGTGGAGCTAAGGAAGGAAGTGGGAGAAACAGACAAGCGGCAGTCATAGAAGAAACCAGAAGCAATGTCTGGTGTAGCTTTGTGGGCTTCAGATTGTTCCTTACTTTGAGTGTTCTGCTTGAAAATAGATTATGGTGTTGATGCAAAGCACTGGGGGGTCTCGTTAAAATGCATATTCTGATTCGGTAGGTTGCAGGTGGGACTTGAGATTCTCTATTTCCAAGCTCCCAGGTGACGTGGTTGTTGCTGGTCTGTAGACCACACTTCCAGAGCGCTGGTCTAGAAGCAATAATGAGGACATCCACTCTGCTCCAGACCCTGTAGGGGTGTGAGAAAACAAATAGCAACTTTGTGACACTTAAATACAAAGCAAGGTGGCAGGTTTCAGTCAAAGTAAGAGGTTGGAGGAGCATTTTGAGGAGAGGTTGAAGATACAGGCGATTTTGCTGATACATGGCTCAGTTCCCAAGATTGCAGTGAAAGTTTTTAGGATGGGTCAGTGTGTGGGATTAGGTCAGATGAGCGGATGTACAGAATTTTATGAAAAAGGTAAAAAAATAATGCATGTGACCCAACACCTTGAGCTGTTCATACTGACTGAGATAAGTAAGGGTGTGAGGAAGGGTGGTGTACTCCTGACATTCTCTTAGGGGAAAACATACTGTCGGTTTCAATTTTAGTCCCCTTCATAAGATTACTGTCTTTGTCAGACTGTTGTAGTGAGCTGGGAGTGTCATGTGTCAGGGATTGGGAGTCTTTCCAGGATCAGGAGGTGGTCTGGGGGTCTCCTTTGCAGTTCCTCTAATAGCAAGGTCCAGGCCTGGGGAGATGCAATGCTATCTGGAATGGAGAGAGCTCTGCATTCCTCCATGGCCACATGGTTCCCTGTCTCAAAGCAATGTACTAGTCTCCTATGTATTCTTTCAGAGTATTTTAATGCAGACAAAAGACTCAATGCAGATTAGGCCATTTCAGCACCAGAATTAACAAGCTGAATTTAATGGACGTAAGCTGCAGAATACACATTTCACTTTTTTCAAGGGCCCATGGAACATTTATACAAATTGATTCATACTGGACCATGAGGCAAGTCTCAACAAATTCCAAAGGTTTGGCACCATAGGAATTACATTCTGTGACCAAATTACAATCATTCTAGAATTCAATAGCAAAGAGATAACTAGAAAAAAAAGTCAGTATGTTTGAAAATTAAGAAACTGTTCTAGGCTGGGCACAGTGGCTCACACCTATAATCCCAGCATTATGGGAGGCCAAAGAAGGAGGATCACTTGAGCCCAGGAGTTTGAGATCAGCTAGGGCAACAAAGCAAGATCCCATTTCTGAAAAAATAAAATAATTAGCCAGGCATGGTGGTATGCACCTGTGGTCCCACCCAGCTACTTAGGAGATTGAGGCTGGAGGATTGCTTTAACCCAGCAGTTCAAGGCTACAATGAGCCATGATTGTGCCACTGCACCCCAACCTAGGTAACAGAGCAAGACTTTCTTTAAAAAAATAAAAGAAAGAAACTGTTCTAAGTAGTTTATGAGTCAAAAACATCATAAATCAGAAAATATTTAGAATTAAAAGAAAATACAATTATTTTATTATAACTTGTTGGAGGCAGGTAAGGCAGTACTCAGAGAAAAGGTTTTAACTTTAAACACTTGCATTAGATAAGAAGAAAAGACAGGAAAATTAAATTAATCATCTATATTCGAAAGTTAAGAAAAAAAAAACCCAGAAAATGTAGAAAGATAAAAATAATAAAGAATATGAATTTAATGAAATAGAATACCAACATGCAATAAAGAGGCCCAGCAAAGCCAAAAGTTGATTATTTGAAAAGAATACATTTGATAAAACAAAACAAAACAAAACAGCAGCAAAACAAAACAGCAGCAAAACTGAATTGGACAGATTCCTGGAAAAATGCAATTTACAAAAATGGACTCAAGAAGAAACAGAAAATATTAATATTCTTACTCTCCTCAAATTTATTGATTCACTTGTTAAAAATCATCATACTCAAAATGTACAGACACAAAGTGTTTTACCAAAATATTCCAGCAAATATTCTAAGAATGAATAATTCCAATCTTATACAAACTATTCCAGAGGATAGAAAAAGAGAGGACATTTGACAAATCATCATAAGACTTCAGCATAATCTTTATACCAAACCAAGGACAGTTTGAGAAAGGAAAATCTAATTTATGAATTTAGAAAAAAATCTTAAGCAAACATTAGCAAAATGTATAAATGTATAAATTGTATAATGTATAAATAGGTCGAGGAGGGCAGGAAGGGAATATGCCTCAGGAGGAAAGAAAAAAGAGATAAGGGCTGGGTGTGGTGGCTCATGCCTGTAATCCCAGTACTTTGGGAGGACGAAGAGGGTGGATCAGGAAGTCAAGAGATCAAGACCATCCTGGCCAACATGGTGAAACCCCTTCTCTACTAAAAATACAAAAATTAGCCGGGTGTGGTGGTGTGCACCTGTAGTCCCAGCTGCTCAGGAGGCTGAGGCAGGAGAATCGCTTGAACCCGGGAGGAGGAGATTGCAGTGAGCCGAAATTTTGCCATTGCACTCCAGTCTGGGTGACAGAGCAAGACTCTGTCTCACAGGAAAAAAAAAAAAAAAGAGAGAAGATAAGAGAAAGGAGAGCCACCCACCAGAAGCACAGAAGGAGGAGCTGGCTGTCAGGAAAGTTGGTGGATTGATAACAAGAATTAACTTCGCCCCCTTTACAAAGTTTTTCTTTTGAGATAGGGTCTGGCTCTGTTGCCCAGGCTGTAGTGTAGTGTAGTGTTGCTCATAATTTGGGATTTGTGGGGATATCTGGTCCCTAGTTTTGTGGAGGTTGTCTGTGCCCCATAATTATTTTTGTAATCTTAGTTGTTCTGTGTGTTCTATGAGGGAATTTGGGAGAAGCCACTGCCAACTTCACCAGATCTCAGAGCAGAGCTTTCTAGTTTCCAGCTCAATATATCTTGTACATAGGAAAGGTTTAATAACTATTTGAGCAACAAATTTAAAAGTTAGAGGTATCATTTTCTTTAGGCACTTTGTAACGTTAGAGCAAAGAGCGTCAAAATTGTAAAGGACACCTGTTATCCCAGCACTTTGGGAGGCAGAGGTGGGCAGATCACTTGAGGTCAGGAGTTTGAGACCAGCCTGGTCAACATGGTGAAACCCCATCTCTACTAAAAATACAAAAATTAGCTGGGCAAAGCAATCAGCAATAGCTAAAAGATTTACTTGGTGTCAGCATCTATCCAAGAGGAAGCAATGGGATCTCTGACAAACTTGACTTCGAGGAAGCCAACAAGCATTTATCTGGAAAACTCAGTGATCCAAATTGAAAACAGTAACTGAAACTAGGAGGGGCTTTCATGGTCCAAAACTGTCCGTGGTAAGACTAAGGAGATTGAATATTCTGAGGTCCCTTCACTCTCAAAGTTACCCAGCAAAGGTTCCTCCAAGACAAAGCTATGATCCAAACTGAGAATAAATTGTTAAGAGAATCTAAGATGAGCAGGTCGGGGACACTAGACACCAAGGAAATATAAGGTCCAGATAAAAGTGGTAAGGGAGAATAGAATCAGAAAATCTTAGAATTTAAGTATTTATATCGTTGGACATTTTATAAAAACAACCAGAAGAGGGTGGTCGAGAGACATTAAATGTAAAGAACCCAAAATGATTCCAAGCCAAGCTTCCTTTCTAAAACTTCAGAAAATCTAATTTGGTGTAAAAATGAGCATCAGAAAAGAATGAGCTAAAATCACATTCAAATTTATTACAGGGCAGGGAGAAAAAAATGAGTAGAATTTCTATAGATAATAAAGATATGCCAGAAAGATGTTCTCACACAAAAAAAAAGAAAACTATAATTTATATTTTTTAAACAGCTAACAGAAAGAAGATCTGAAAGATAAACCAGAATAAAGAAAACTTAGAAATAAAGTGGTAGAAATCAATAAAGAATTAAACATAAAATTAAACATTCATTTCAGAAATTGTCTAACTAGAAGTATAACACAAGAGCAAATAGACTCAACTGGTAATGACTCACAATAAATAGAAAACGAAAAGAAGGAAATTTTTAAATATATAAAAAAAAAAAAATGAAGGTGCCAGGGACTTAGGTGGGAGAGACGGGAATGGAGAGTCATTGTTTGATGGGTATAAATTTCAGTTTTGCAAGATGCGAAGAGTTCTGGAGATGGATGGTGGTGCTGACTGCACAACAATGTGAATGTGCTTAATGTCACTGACTGTGCACTTCAAAATGGTTACGATGGTAAATTTTATGTTATGTGTGTTTTGTCACAATTAAAAAGTGAAAGGAATGAAAAAGGAAATGAAGGAAGAGATGAAAAGTGTTAGTAAGAACATGATCAATTCAGAAGACAGGCAGAGAAGATCTGACGTATCTATATAAAAATTAGGAATCCATGAATGAAAAATCAAAACAAGTTAGAAGAAGCACCTGATTATAATGCACCAAAACTTTGATCAGATGAAAAAATGTGAAGTTACGTATTGAAGGAGCACATTGTATACCTGGAAAAGTTGACCCAGAACAAATATCTGAGCCATAGACCAAGTGACTTATGAAGGAAAGAAAAAGGAATTGTTATCATGCTTTTCAATAACAATTTCTCCTACCAGAAGAAAACAGAGTAACACATTTAAAATGTTGAAGGGAAAGAAACAGTAAGCCCAAGATTTTATATTCAACCACACTTTTTTTTAAGTATAAAGGGAGCAAGCTGTCACCTGGAAGCCAGAACTGAAAAATACTGCTTCTGTGAATCCTTCCTTGGGTATACAGTAGCTTCAGACAACCAAAATTACTAGAGAAATATTGACATAAAGATGGATGGTGGGCGTTGAGCATATATTTACGTGAAGAACAAAGGAAGGACATAAGAACAGAGTGTGGTAATGGCTCTATGCTCTGACAATATAGATACAGCATAATTAAAAGAAAACAAGGAGAGAATGAGAATATCATGTAAAAACATTTGAAACAGTTTTTCAGTAATTATACTGGTAGTAGTTTTGATAGTGTTATTTTGAGAATGTTTTGTGTGACATGGACAAAACATTCAATCATCCCCATTGTCCTTGCAACCCAGGATTCTTGCTGAAGACAAAAAGAGATTTGAACATAAGGTAGAAGAGTTTAAGTAACATTGAAATCTGAATTTGAATTATAGTGTGAACATACGAGGTATTTTATCTTTAAATAAATGAGTGATATTTACATATATAGTTGTATATATTAAATAATCATTGTCATATAATTATTGTTTATATATTTTACCATGCATATAATTATATAGAATTATCAATAGATATAAAGGACTAAGTTCTGATAGAGAGGTACGTTCTATAGGAAATAATAATAGTTATAATGATAAATACATAATTATTATTAAAGGAATAGGAAATTGTACCATAATAAAAATATATATATTTGATCTCTATCCCCAGTTCCTGACACAGAGCTCCAAAAATCCTTGTAATTTCCCGAGTAATCAGGGAGCTAGGTTCATCTTTGTTCTAATATTTTGTCTTTGACCTGGTTCCTGACACAGAACTTGTAACCCTTTGGAATTTTCTGGGTGCTAGGAGAATCTTTTGTTCTAATATTTGTTCTTTGACCTGGTTCCTAACGCAGAGCTCCCAAGACCTTTGTAATTTCCTGAGTGACAGCAGCACCTGACACAGAGCTCCTGAATCCTCTGGAATGTCCTAGATGATAGGAGTTCTAATAAGGTGACTCTTGGTGGCCTCCTGAATGGGAGCTGGTCACCAGAAAGACTAAGCCATGATTAAAAGTCTGGAACTTTTAGCCTCACCTTTCATCCTCCCAGAAGAGGAGAGAGGCTGAAGACTGAATTAATAATCAATCATGCCTATGTAATGAAGCCTTCATAAACTTTCCTGAAGCATGGAGTTTGGGGAGCTTCCAGGTTGCTGACATGGAGGGTGGCATGCCCCAAGAGGCCGTAGAAGCTTCCTGCCTTTTCCTGCATACCTTGACCTCTGCATCTCTTCCATCTAGCTGTTTATCTGTATTATTTGTAATATCCTTTATAATGCACCAATAAACACAAAGTGCTTCCCTGAGTTACATGAGCCTCTCTAGCAAATGCTCAAGCCTGAGCGGGTTGTAGTGGTTACTTCCAATTTATAGCCAGTCAGTCAGAAGTTTCAGAGGCCCACATGTTAATTAGCATCTGCAGTGGGGGCAGTCTTTGGACTGAACCCTTAACCTGGGAATTTGACTCTAACTCCAGGTAGACTGTGTCAGAATTGAATTGAATTATAGGATACTCAGTTGGTGTCCACTGGAGAATCGGTTGTTGTATGGGGAAAAGTCCCCACCAATTTTGGTGACCAGAAGTGTTGAGTGTGGGAGTAAGAAGAAGAGCTTTTTTATGTCAATTAGAAATAATTTTCAATATAGTAATATACACATAATCATTATACATATATAAAAATGTATAGATATAATGACAAGCTAGGATATTCATTCTATCTTAGTTTATTCTATTCTACAGAATATGTGTTATATTCGGCCAGGCACAGTGGCTCATGCCTGTAATCCCAGCACTTTAGGAGGCAGAGGTGGGTGGATCACCTGAGGTCAAGAGTTCAAAACCAGCCTGACCAACATGGAGAAACCCTGTCTCTATTAAAAATACAAAATTAGCCAAGCATGGTGGCGCATGCTGGTAATCCCAGCTACTCAGGAGGCTGAGGCAGGAGAATCACTTGAACCTGGGAGACGGAGGTTGCAGTGAGCCGAGATCTCGCCATTGCACTCCAGCTTGGGCAAGAAGAGTGAAACTCCATCTAAAAAAAAAAAAAAAAAGTGTTATATTCTCTCTCTCTCCTAGCTTGGTCCATTATGTCTATGATAATTACCTCCTAGGTCTGCCCATTGAAATTACCTAGAAATTATAACTGTCTCCCTATATAAGTATATATATTATGATAACTATATATGTGTGTATGTGTATATGTATATGTGTGTGTGTGTATATATATATATTTCTATATATCTCCTAGCTTAATCTGTTATATGTATTTCTGTCCATTGTAAAGGCCTGGAAACTATATTGAGCCTACTATAGATGAGCACCCTAGCCCTTGGTTTTTGGTCTTGAATTACTATTTCACATTAAAAGAAACCAGGGAATCTTGGGGAAATGGCTACTTTCAGTGCTGGACAGAAAATGTACAATAAGCCTGGAGTATCATCATAGCAGATATCAAGGAAGCTATCAAAGACTAATAGGTTTTGTCAAAAGTTGGAACCAACTTAAAGATAAGGCAGTTTGAACATCGATAAGGCCAATAGCAAAATCCACAAGATTATAATGAATTATAAAACTCCATGTAACTGTTTTTTTTTTTTTAACAAACTCTTTATTTTGAAATCTGGCATTTGTTTTGCTTTTTCTAGGTGAAATGTAACATTAGGCAACCAAATAGTAGAAAAGGGGAAGCTTTCCTCTGTAGAAGTATCCCAGTAAATAAATGGACAAGGAATCATAGAATTGGAATGTCACTGGTATGCAACCCTAGTGAGTTAAAGCCCTTGGATAATGAACATCAATGATTGCTGACATCACAAAAAGAGAATTAGATATCGTGTACTCCCTAAAGAACAAAACAGCCTTTAAACAAATTTTGTTAAAAATTTTGAACCTGTATCTGATTGTGCCTCTTGATTTACAAAAAACACAATTTACAAAAGAATACAGAGGACAGAGGAACATATTATACTACACCATGAGAATGCAATAAACTGTTGAAAATTCTATAGGATAAATTGTCCAGTTTCTTACACAAATAAAATATAGGGGAAAAAGGACAGAGATGAAAGCATAAATTGAGCGATTTAAAAGACATTACAAAATACAGACCTGAGCTATAAGATTTAGGGAAGCACACTGGGGTAATAAAGAAAAGTTAAGAAGTGATTATTGTAGAAGCCAATGGTTATCTTGGGAGCAGAGTTGGGGGTTGTCATTGGGAAGGGCACAGAGGACTTCTGGGATGCTGACCACATTCTATGTCTTGACATGACGATGGTTAGAAGGATATTCACTTTATACATTTGAAATACCATTTCTGTAATTAACACAAAAATTTTAAAAGACAATTGTCCTTAAGGAATTTGTAATCTAGTATGAGGGAAAACACATTATGTGAGAATATTTAGAATATCTAATAACACACTATTAGTGTTACATGGTTGGTCTCCAAAATAAGTGAAATAGGAGTTCAGAAGAAATGTCACTTCCAACTGATGTGGGGAACTTTGATATTCTTTTTCTAAAAGCAAAGGAAAGAACAGTGCATCTCAGCTCCAAACCCACTCTTATTTGCCTTGCTTTGTAATAGTGGAGCTGAATGCTGCAGACACTTCTCCTTTGCTCTCTGATTTGATGCTCAACTCTGTCAGTAAAAGATAATAAAAAGAGATTGCAAGGTATTAATGGCAGGAAAAAAGGACTTTGCCTGTTTCACTGAGTATGCTTTTTTCCCCTTTACCTTGAATACTCTTGTATTTTATTTAGAAATAATACAAAAGAAGAGCTCAGAAAAACAAAAAACAAACAAAAAAAAAAACACCACTCACCCCCGCCAAAATGTTGTCCTGCTGGTTAACCTCTTCCTCCTCAACACTCCCTCTGTGCCTCCACAGGCTCACCCCTAACACTTCCACGGCCTAAGGCAAAAGTACAAATGGAGCTTACCCACATTTTCATTTTAAATCAATAATTATAATCTCCATTTGGTACAAAATTTGAAGTTGCAGAATTTTTTTTAATTTTAATTTTAAGTTCTGGGGTACATGTGCAGGATGCGCAGGTTTGTTACATAGGTAAACTTGTGCCACGGTGGTTTGCTGCACTCATCAACCCATCACCTAGGCATTAAGCCCAGCATGCATTGTTCCTGGGCAATAGCAAGTGGACTCGTGAGGAAGGGTGCGGGAGATCCCTGTAGTGCTCACCACAGCACAAGCTCCCACAGTTCAGTGCTGGGTGATTCCCAAGTGGCCTCTCCATCAAGTTTCTACATTCTCACAGCAGTCATATGTGTATCTCTGTGCAGCCATGCCTTCTCAGAAGTCTGAGTATTTCTAAGTCTTGCAGGGCCCTTTCCTCTAAATTTCCACATCCCTTCTTAATTCACTTTCCCTTGGCCTTAGGGATAGTAACTGCTTTCTGGAGTTGCTACCTTAGAATACCTTAGCATTTTCTTTTATACCTTTTAGTGTTTAACTATCTTTACCTAGTTAACGATTTTTTTTTTTTTTTTTTTGAGACAAAGTCTTGTTCTGTCACCAGGCTGGAATGCAGTGGCAAGATCTCGGCTCACTGCAACCTCCGCCTCCCAGGTTCAACAGATTCCTCTGCCTCGGCCTCCCCAATAGCTGGGACTACAGGCAAGCTAATTTTTTGTATTTTAGTAGAGACGGGGTTCACCATGTTGGCCAGGATGGTCTCGATCTCCTGACCTCGTGATCCACCCATCTCGGCCTCCCAAAGTGCTGGGATTACAGGCGTGAGCCACTGTGCCCAGCCAACAATTCTTTATATTAAATTTTACCAGCTCAAATTACTGGTGTTTTCTGTCTGCAGACCGGACCTTATGCTGATGCAACGTTTGTACCTGAGACTACGGAAGACAAACACACATTTACATAGATAGTGGTGAGCTGTTGAAGGTTTCTGAGGAAAAAAATGATACTCTTTCAATTTTTATTTTTAAAATTAGAAATTGACAAATTATAGTTGAATATATTTAAAACATGATGTTCTTAAAATATTGTATCAGAAAGTTAAATGTGGCTGACTTGTTTAGAAGAGGGAAAGGCAGGAGGGTTCAGACATGCCAGCGAGAGGTAATAAGCGTGATTGAGGGTTGGCAGAGGAGACGGAAAGGAGAGGGTGATCTGAGGAATTCTAAGCAGGAATTAACGGGATTTAGGACTGCTCAGAGACAGAAGCAAAGGAGATGTTGATCATTTCAAGCCATATAATTTCAACATATCAGGAATGTTGATCCTTTTAAGCCAAGGATACTGAAAAGGAGAAGGAACTGGTACTGGGAGCAAGGTGGTGATTCAAGTCTTAGATATTTCGAGTTTTAAATGACAATGACGTATCTGGGTAAAAATTTTCTGGGAAGCAGTTAGTATAAAGGTCTAAAGTTCTAGGAGAGGCCATTGTCCTGGCTATAAGTTATTATTCGTTTACTCTTTGAGACACATTCACTGAATATCTGCTATGTTCTGGGTGTTGGGATTTAGAGTTGACTCCAAACATACGTGGTCTCTGCCTTAGGGAGCACGTATTTCAGTTGGGACACTGTAGGCAACACCTCTGGAAGATGCCTTATAAATCATTCTAGTATCCTCCTCCAACACCTGACATTGAGGTCCTGAGGGCCTAATTGGATGTCCAAAGCTTTTCAAATTTAGTAACAAAGTGAGAAATTGAATTCAGCTATTCTGATACACAGCTAATACCTAATACTTTCTTTTTACCAGACCAGGCTGCCTGTCTAGACACAGAAGGCAAGTAATGCACTCCTTCCTACTCCCACTCATTGAAATATGATCTCAGCTCTTTATTGAAGTGACTGCTGCAAGTTGAAGTGCTTCTCTTTCTGTGAGAATTTTACTTTTAACAAACATTGAAACCTTACTCTAAAGGATGAAGTTATGGTGGTGGAAATTCAGACACCGGCCAATCAAGTTTAAGTCTGATAGTAGTGTTCCCTTCCTGATATGCCTGAAGTAGTACCATATAGGAGTGATTTGCTTCTTCTAAGGGTCAGCCATCCACTTTTGCCTGGTCATTGAGCATTCTCTTGGGTTCAAACCAAATAAATGCAAATTAGTCAAATGGAGACATACCTAAGTCATGGGGATGAATTTGAATTCCAGCTCTCCTTTCACTCATGGAGGGCTAAAATTTTGCTGACAAGTATACGACAGGCACCTAGTGTGTTTACGGTTATCTGGGCAACTAAGTGTTTTCTTTTTTTTTTTTTCAGATATTGAAACTCTAATGAAAGGGAATAGAAAATGTATTTCTGTTTTCTATAGAAAATAGAAATGTATTTCTGTTTTCTATAGAAAATAGAAATGTATTTCTCTTTTCTATAGAAAATAGAAAATTTGAGGGAGAAAAGATGATTAAGGGAGACAGCCCCAGTACTCTTTTTTTGGTTGTTCAAGAAGAATAGATGTTGAAATCAGATAGCCTGGTTCAAGTCTTCACCCAACTATCTACGAGCTTTGTGTCCTTGGGAAAGTCACCTAGCTTTCTGTGACTTTGTTTTCTCATTAGTGAAACACACGTATGTAACACTAGCTACATTTAACAGTTGTTAATATATCTGAAGTGCTTAGAACAGTGTCTGACCCCCTAGTAAACACTATATATTGTTAATATGATTAATACTGCTTAGTTTATTATATCCCACATACATGACTTATTTAGCTATTCCTGATTTTCTTTTTCTGGGCCCCTAGGCTAGTGGCTGCAGAAGAGACGGTCCTACCCTCAAGGAATCGCACTTTATTTGGAAAGACAAGATTTAAGGATTTGAGGAGATAGCCAGCAGTAAGCATAAGTAAAAATGCCAACTGCATAACCAAGTCAATCCTTGCTGTGGGAGGGGGTGGGCTTTATTGCTGGACAAGATTACCCAGGACCAGGTTAATTAGAAAACAGGTGTGTAGGTGTGTGAATGTGGAAGGGGCAGGGACAGAAAGTAGAGAGAAAGTGGGCAGTGAGGAGGGAGATTTAAGCTAGACATTTCTGCACCAGCAGCATTTTGATAAAGAAAAGAGGAGGTCAGTGGGGAAGGAAGAGATGAGGTGAACAAGTGAAAGGAAGTGAAAAAACATGTGTGGCAGACATTGCACAAAAGGGTGAGTCTCTGAATCTCTTTTGATAAGAATAACTGCACTCCCAGGCCTACATAGCAGGTGGAGTGATGGGACCATGGTACTGAAATAGCAAAACCAGGAGGCAGGGCTGGCTTTGAGAGGACAACGCATTTGACGCCTTCCAAGATTTGGTTTTTGGGAAGATTGGATGAGACACTACATATAAATCATTTAGCACAGTGCCTGGCACAGAGTCAGTGCTCAATATACACTAGCTACTATTATTTGTGCATTCTAAAAGTTGCATTGCAGTAATTTAAGTGCAATGCTAAGAGATGACAGTCATGAATGAATATGGAAATGTGCATATTATATTTTCTGACTTTTGTTTGTACACTTGGGTCCTTTTTCCTGAAGCAAACAAAAAATATTTTTATAGCGGCAAGATTTAACTTGAATTGTCGCCATTATTTTAGCTGTGATAAGAAAAACTGGGATAATAAAACAGTAAGACCCTAGGCAAGGACTTCCAAGAGGCCTTAGGGAAGCAAATTAGCCAATATTCTGTCACTTTTCTCTCTGATTACAAGTCTCCCTTAGAGTTGGGTTTTTTTTTTCCACCTAGAATAAAGGAAATGGAAATCTTGACAGCCTTTGGTTCAGAAACAGTTGATGGTATTGTTAGAACAAGCACATTCATTATGCGCTATAAAGCTTGTGGAGAGTGCTAATGGCATTTATAGAGCCATGTGGGTGAACCGCCTGAGGGGGCTTGGTTGTATTAGAATCCTGTGTACACAATGCAATGCAATTTAATTTGTAAAAAAATAGATTTAATAATTTATTGACTTTTGTCTTCTTTCTAGACCCTCTATTCTCCTTTCCATTTTACTTAAAAATGCATTTATTTAAATGCTGCATGAGCATTGAAAGCAAACATTGAAACTGAAATTTTATACCACTGACTCCATAAAATTACAAAGTATAGTGGAGGAGATGAGGTGTAAAGGAGCAGGCAATTAATGCTATTTGTTTTTAAGATTTTTCATTGAGAGCTGGTATCTTTTTAAAAAAAGTTGTGTGTTTGTCTTTTTTCACTGTCAAAGTGAGCTAAGAATCTAGGCTCAAAGAAGACTAGAGCTGAGAGATGGCTTGGCGATGGACTAGTGCAACCCCACACTTCATAGATGAGGACATTGAGGGATTATGTAATTTGTTCAAGACCCCAGCAGGGCCCGTGATCAGGACCAGAACCTGAATCCTGCTGCCGGCTTGCCTGTTGCCTCCCTTGTTCCTCATCTCATGCTGATGCCTCTGAATAGTCATCACTGATAACTGGGTGATGTGGTTAGGCTTTAGGTCCCCACCCAAACCTCATCTTGAATTATAATCCCCATATTCCCCGTAATCCCCACGTGTCAAGGGAGAGACCAGGTGGAGATGATTGAACCACGGGGATGGTTTCTCCCATGCTGTTCTCATGATCGTGAGTGAGTTCTCACGCCATCTGATGGTTTCACAAGGAACTTGTGTCCCTTTGCTAGGCACTTCTCCTTCCTGCCGCCTTGTGAAGAAGGTGCCTTGCTTCCCCGTCACCTTCCACCATGATTGTAAGTTTCCTGAGGCCTCCCCAGCCATGCTGAACTGTGAGCCAATTAAACATCTTTCCTTTTTAAATTACCCAGTCTTGGGCAGTTGTTTATAGCAGTATGAAAATGGAATAATACACTAGGCTAAGATCATTTAAAGCATTAAAGGATTTCAGAATTGGAAGGGGCTTTTGGGAACATCAGCCTCCAGGCTTTGGGTGAAGTTCAGGAGTTTGCCCAAGGTCATGGATAAGGGTAAAAGAGGAGGGCCTGGATCCAGCTCCCATGACCATTGCATTTCTTTAAGCCACTCCAAATCCATGGACTAATAATTTGCAGAGTGCTCACCAAATAAAAGGCAATAGGGCCTACATTCACTAAGATCTGCATTTCATGCTTCTATTCACCCCCATTTTCTGAGCCTAGAGTTCTCCTCTGCAGGCAGGAGGGACTGGGCAGGTGGTCTGCCCACTCACTGAGCTCCAACATGCACCATTTTGGTGATTCTGGATACAGTGCATGGATGAATTCCCTAGATTCCTTCCATAAACTTTTTGCTGCAACCAGACTAGTTATTTCTCTTTCAAACAACCCATGACATTTACTGCCTCTGTGACTTTGCAAAAACCTTTTTTTAAAACATTTTTTTGCCTCATCTTAATTTATTTAATTATGCTCCCTCTGGAATATAAGTGCCAAGGGAACAGAGACCTGTCTGTCTTTCTCACTACCATAGTCCTTCGCTTATAGGTGTGCCTGGTACATAGTAGATACTCAATAAATGTTTGCTAAAAGAAAATAGAAATTATTATAGGTGCTGCTTAGTTCCCGTCTTCTGAAGGCCTATTAAACCACAACTAGGGATCTTTGATTCTTAAGTATAGGTTCAATCAATCTCATCTTGGGCCTTTTGCTCAATTCTGGCCCAGAGAAAAGAGATGTCAAGGCTCTTGCCAGGAAAGATATGACTTGGAATCAAGTCAATTTTGCTGCTACTTGGTCTCTGTCTTTGGACCTTACCACTGGACTTTGGTTTTCCTCTTTCCAGAGTACATCTGACTCTGATGACAAATTCAGCACCCTTTCCTGCCAGTGGCAGGTTGGTGTACCTTGTTTAACTTAATGTTAAAAAGGTCATGCCATGACTTCTGGATATTAGTTCTTTTTGTGACTAACCTTCCTTCTGGGAGCTGCCACTGACCCACCCCACAGTGCCTGCTGTACTCTGGGGGTTGGTTACCCCAGTGTATATTATACCCCAGTGTATATTAAAATATTTGTCTGCCAGGTCTGTTATCCAGAGTTCTCTCCATAAACTCTGGTGTCCTGGAGGATGTTGCCTGCTCAACTTGTTGGTGTTCCTTTCCTGGTGCTGTGTTTCTTTAGTCATCCTTGCTAACTGGAGTTGAAGTGGCAAAGCCAGCCACCGTCCTGGATAGCTTCTGCAGCATTTCATCATAAATTCCAGTTAGCAGAGTCCATTGGCTACAGTGATCTTTCTCTCTGAGCTTTTGTATGGGTCTCTTTCCCAATCATCTTAATGTTCAGAGAAGGGTGGTGGTTTCCTCATCTACAACGTGGTTAAGAGCTAGTGTTCCAGTGTCAGACTGCCTGAACACCAGGTGTGTGAACTAGGCAAGTTACTTACCTCCAAGCCTCAATTTTTTCACTTGCAAAATAGAAGAGGAACACAGGCCATAACAGTATGTTGTCTCATATGATAATGTTGAGGACTGAATGAGGAGTAAACGTAGCCAGTAAATTGTGTGTGAGATCCAGATTTAGTGGACTCTCCTGCCTGCTTCAACTCTCCAAACTGTTCCAGCCTATGAGCTCCCATATGCTTTCACTCCTCATCACTCATCCTGGATTCAAAGGTATAGTTATGCACCACATAATGAGATTTCCATCAATGATGGACCTCTCATGTGATGGTGTTCTTATAAAATTATAATACTGTATTTTTACATATTTTTTCTATGTTTAGATACACAAATACTTACTATTATGTTACAATTGCCTGCAGTATTCAGTACACACAGTCACATGCTGTGCAGGTTTGTAGCCTGCAAGCAATAGACTACCCCACAAAGCCTAGGTGTGGAACAGGCTATACCATCTAGGTTTGTGTAAGTACACCATGATGTTCTCACAAGGATGAAATTGCCTAATGAAGCGTTTCTCAATACGTATTCCTATCATTCAGTGACACGTGAATGTACTACATTGCAACGGCACTTTCAATTTTTAGATCCAAGTCTTGTATCCCCAACTATCTTGTCAGTTCCTTCAGGTAAAAATATGTGTCTGGTGCCATCTTGTATCATTCAGTCCAAGCCCAGAGCCCTGCATATACTATACAAACAACAAACACTTTTTTTTGTTGGTATAAATAATGATATCATTTATTCTAAAAATCAGACAGCATGACTCCACAAACCTTGATGAGGTCGCTCATCCTGAAGTACATTTGCTTTGTTGATAGTGTATTGGCAAGGACAAATGCCAAGGCAGACAGAGACACTTATTAACCATCCTGGGGATTATGTGGGTGGCAGCTGTCCTGGGACAATGTTCCTTGTTAATGATATTCTTAGACTCACTCACAGCAGTGGTGAGATAAAACAGTGATCATGCTGAAAACCTGCTTTCTGATGAGCTTAGGAAAAAAGATGATATCTGGGACTTAGCCAGTTGGAGACTAAGAGATTCGCTCCATGGTATTTTATAATTCTGCTTTACTTGTAATGGCAGGCTCTATTCCTCACTGGATAGTTTTGTATTTACCCATTTGATTGATGATTTTCCTGAAACTATATACTTTTGACTTTGCCTACTATCGACCATGATAGAATGAAAGCTGCCACAAGGATCATCACTAAGTTCAACCTTCTTGGATAAAGGAATTTAGTACAATTAACTTGACACATGAGAATAGTTTTTAAAAAAAGAGCATATTTGGGTTCTGAGTTTAAAAGCAACTGGCATTTGTGCTCTGGCAATATAACATATCTGCAATGAAAGAATTATAGGAGAGGAGAGAATCAAACAATTGGAGTTATTATGGTATGGTGTTAGTCTGTTTTGAGTTGCTATAAAGGAATACTTGACACTGGGTAATTTATAAAGAAAGAAGATTGTTTTGGCTCATGATTTTGATGGCTGGAGAGATCCTGACTGGGCATCTGTATCTGGTGAGGGCCTCAGGCTGCTTCCACTCATGACAGAAGGCAAAGAAGAACAGGTGTGTGCAGAGATCACATGATGAGAGAGGAAGAAAGAGAGTGGGGAAGGAGGTGCCTGGCTCTTTTTTTAAACAAATGTTTTCCCCAAGAACTAAACGAGTGAGAACTCACTCACTCAAGAGAGGGGGCATTGATCTTTTCATGAAGGATCTGCCCCTATAACACAAATACCTCCCATTAGGTCCCACCTCCAACACTGGGGATAAATTTCATCAGGAAATTTGGTGAGGGGTAAGCAAACCGTATCCAAATGATACCAGGGATATGTCAGGATTAAGACTGGAGGCTGCAGGTAGATGTTGTGAAGACTTGGAGAAAGGGAAACTGGATTCCAGTTCTTCAGTTTCCTAAAATGCAAAGGTGGTATTATAATAGTCCCATAGTCTCTTTCTATGAACGGGGGGAGAAAAATCTATTTCCCCGTCAGGTCACCCTCAGAGAGTTGTTGTAAAAATCACGTGTAATAAGGTTTGCTAAAGATCCTTATAAGCATAAAAGCACTGAATAAGTGTAAGGTGAACAAGATGGTTTTGTTGACTACAGTCCCCTGGACCTGTTGGTGTTCCCAGTGCTTGACACAGTGACCTGGACAGAACAGGCAATGGGGTGCAGGGTGCATGGTTCTGGTGGCTGCCATTATTTAACTAGAGATCAGCTGATCTGAAGGAGGGCAGGACATCCTTACGCGGTAAGCGGTACTTTCCCTTTAGACTGGATTTGCAAATTCTGATATAGGGACATAGAGGCTTTTGTTTCCGATCTTAGGAAAAGGGTCTGGAGGAAACATGATCTCATATCTCAGGGTCTCTCCCTTTCTCTCTAAGAGAAGAAATCTTTAGACACATCGAGAAACAGATGATTGTTTTTTTATGGGTCAGTCTTATTTTGAAAGGAAAGGATTGAGAAGAATGGACTTAAAATTACAAAAGGGATATTGTTTGGCAAAGAGGAGAGAAAGTGATTTTTCCAGAGGAAAGAAAAATGTGACAGTGAGAATGCTGAAGGGTTTTATGTCTGCTTGAGAGTTGGCGGTAACCCAGTCCATTACCAGCAGAGGCCTGGGTAGACTTCTGGATATTTTTAAGAAAAAGAGAGGTAATTACCTTTCTAAGGTGACTTAAGGGCATTTCTTTTCAAGGTCTCTTCAATTTCTTTGTTGAGTCTATAAACTTTGTGAGGGAAAATAGAAATGTATACCCACTTCAAGAATAATGTGGCAAGCTATCTTTTATAGTGAATTCTTGCCATTTAAGACTTTGTATTTTTTAGTACAGAGACCTCTAAGAAAGGAGGAAAAATAATGAAATTTGAAAGCAAGATGTCATGAAAGCACACATTAGTGACTAATTTGTTAAGCATGTAATACAGTTTCCCATTAGGTTGACTGTCTTAAGTGTTAACTCCCAGAAAAGCAGCGCCCACATGCTGTCTCTAAAGGGAACAGGAAAGATGAAAAACTGAAAGCCGAAGATAGATGATTTTGAAAAGTGATCCATTGTCCAAATTCCCAGAGGCTTAGAAAAAAAGTGACCAACATCAGATTGCCCACTTTTCTTCAAAAGAATAACAAAGTAGTAAAAGAACAGAAATAATATGTAACAGCAACTGACCCAAACATGAAAATTGCCTCAAGGGACTATAGGTAATAAAATTGTACTGTATTTGAGATTCCTGCTAAATGAGTGGATTTTAGCTACTCTTGCCACAAAAACAAAGAAAAAGAAATGAGTAACTATGTGAGGCGATGGATATATTAATTTGCTTCACTATAATAACTTTTTAACTATATACATGCATCCCATAACATCATGATGTGTATCTTAAATATATAATTTATTTTTTAAAAAACAAAACAATAACAATCCCTCCCCCTCCCCAAAAAAGCCTAAGGGAGTCTCCAAAGAAGCTACCTTAGGGAGAGATTCCTATAAAAATGTTTTTAGAAAAATTCATCTTTTTAACAGTGTTAATAACATTAAGGCTTTAAGAAGTACTTTCTGTCTATTAAATTCTGGGGGAAAACATTTATCCAGAGGCAAGAAACAGCTCATGCTAGATGATCCATTAATCCCTGAACTAGGCCTATAAATGAAATGGTTTATAGAGAAAAGAATTAAAGAATTTACAATCTTTGTCAAAACCTCAAAATAACTCCCGTTATTTCTCTGTTTCAAATAAAGATTTATAGGCAGATCCAAAGAGCAATGATTTTTAAATTAAAAAGCTTTATGAGCTTTTCAAGAGAGGAATAAAGCTAGAGGGTCAGGCTCTTTCTCTGAGGGGGAAGAAATGGATAGTGTGGGAAGGACTGTAAAAGCAAAGCAGGAGAGAAGAAAAGCCTTTTGAGGCATGCCCACGAAAATGCATTTACAGAGTACAGTAAAACTACTTAATCCCCAATTTTTATTACTGAGAGAATGGCTCCCTAAGCAAATTAATAGTAGAAAGATTTCAGGTAGGATCTAGAACTCAATTATGAGAATAAGTCATGCTTGTCATTAGTATAATTTACAAACCAAAAATGTCTCATTTGATGCTTATGTGTTTACAATAGAAGGGCTGCGAACAAGTCAACTTGACAATGCTTTGCTAAACCACTGGTTGCGGTTAAATGTTTATAACAATTATCACAGATGTTTCCAGCATGAGGGATGTTAGAGAAAATCTAAATCGATTCAGCCCCTCAATGTATACGTGAGAAAAGTGGTCCCTCAAGGACTGGGTGTTTGGTGAAAGGTCACAGCTAGTTGGTGAAAAACTGGGTCTAGAATCATGCTTTAAAATTTCCTGTCCAGATTTCTTTTTTCTACTATAATCCTTTACTTAAAACAGTAATAGAATCATAAATTAATTCAGGTTGGAAAGAGGCCTTACAACTCATCTAAGTTTGGAAGTAACCTTTTTGTTGAAGTACAACATGCATACTGAAAAGTGCACAAGTCATAAGCGTATCACTTGATGAATTCTCTCAAATTGAACACATCCACATATCAAGAAAGAGAATGTTACCAAAATTCCAAAAGATCGCTTGTGCCCCCTTCCAGTCACTGCCCGTTCCATGCCCCAGGATCAGATATTTTTATGCCCAGTTCAGGAATGAATAAACAGAGGTCCATGCTGGATAAATGATTTTTAAAAGTAAATTATTAGTGAGAACACAAAACATGGTCTTGTGAAGCACACTTTACTATTTTTCCACTACTTAAATTAATCTATTAAATTAGCTAATTAACTACTTGGAATTACTTAAATTCCATCTAATTCAACAATATGAAGCCCAGCGCAATGTAAAACAGCAGTGAGTCCCCAAAATGTTTTGTAGAATGAATTAATGAAATTATTCCTGCCAAGCGGTTGTCTCACTTGTTATATATTTATGCTTCAAATATTTATGCATTGATTGGATGCAATATCTTTCTTGTTCTTTATTAGATATTAATAATAAGTCATAAATTTTCCTGCTGTTCCATACCTGATCTCTCTGTTCTTTGTATGTTTTTCTTGTTCTCATTACATCATGTTGTTGATTCCAGACTGTCTATGAGTGGTTGTGAGTGAGGCACGATGAAGCTGTATGCAGGGGTGGTGTTTCCCTTTGCAGGAATTTTTTTTTCTAAGGGGATTAGATGTGAGCCACCTACCCACTGGGTGACCACCACTATTCGTATTTGAAGAACTTTTCTCTGGGGTTAATTTATTTTGCTAGAAAATAACCCTTCAAATGCCTGGGGGAACACGGAGACTACAAGTATTTTGGAAGCAGTGTGGGAGGAGTTGTGGGGCCCAGTCATCATGCAGACTAAATCTTGTTTTTATTTCCATACCTCATTCCCATTCTCCTTTAAGGATGACTAAAAGTCAAAGTCGTTTTTCTGTCATCACCACCCAATGGTATACAATGGTATACACCACGCAATTCTATACAATGCTACTGATAACATATTGTTCTCCCATCAAACCTTGTTAGTCTGTTTTTCAACACTGTTGTGGTTACTGCTAATTTTTTTACTTTATTATAACAGAAAAGTCACCTAGTTAAAGTGTATATTTGATGAATGTTGGTAATTATACACAGTTTGATGAATTCTGGTAATTGGATTCAAGACATAAAACAGTTCCTTCACCCTAAAAAGTTTTCTTGTGCCTCTTTGCAGTTGATCTTCTGCCCCAACTTCTAGACCCAGGCAACAACCAATCTGCTTTCTCTCACTATGCTTTTATCTTTTCTAGAATTTCATGTAATGAAATCAAATGGTGTGTAGTTTTTTTGTGTTTGTTTTCTTTCCCTTAACATAATGCTTTTGAGATCCACCCAGGTTGTTGTGTATACTGAGTTCCTTGTTATTACTGAGTAATATTCCTTCATCTGGATATATCACAATTTACCTGTTTACATGTTGGTGAACATTTGGCTTGTTTTCAGATTGTGACAGTAGTGGATAATGCTTCATGTGCAAGTTTTCATGTGGACACAGTGTTTCTCCTGGATAAATGCCTAAAAGTAGGATTGGTGGATATGTTTATATGACACTGCCATAGTAACTTCCAAAGTGGCTGCACCATTTTGCATTCCTATCAGCAATGTATGAGTGTCATCATTGCACCACATCATCGTGAACGCTTGACATTGTCAGTATTTTAATTTTTAGCCATGCTAGTGGGTATGTAATGTTATCATATTTTGATTTTTATTTCATTTCCTTGATGACTTGTGATGTTAGGAGTCTTTTCATGTGCGTATTCTCCATTTGTTTATCTTCTTTTGTGAAGTTTTCATTCAAATCTTTTATTGTCTTCTCATTAATAGGTTGTTTGTCTTCTTCTTGAGTTCTAAGAGTTCGTTTCATATTTTGGACACATGCCCTTTGTCAAATATGTATTTTGCAAATATTTTCTCCTAATTTATGACTTGCTTTTTTGCTTCCCTCACCCATCTCTAAAAATAAAAAGTTTTCAATTTTGATGAAACCTATTTTGTCAGTTTCTTTTCTCTTAGAGATCTTATTTATTGTGTCTTTAAGAAAGATTTGCCTGACCCAGATCACAAAGATTTTCTTCCATGGTTTTTTAGAAGTTTTATGATTTTAATTTTTAAGTTTATGCCTATAATCAATTTCAAGTTAATTTTTATTTATAAATGTGATACATGGATCAAAGTTAATTTTTAAGTAAAAATATCCAGTTGTTCTAGCACAATTTAGAGACGATATTTTCTTTGTTGAATTTCCTTGGTTGGATAAAGAACTTGGCATATTTTAGCAGCAGAAAGGAGGTCAATGTGGCCTGAATCTAGAGAGACAGGAGGGAGTGTTGTATAATGATGTTAGAGAGAAAGATAGGGGCCAAATCTGGTAAGGTCTTATGGGCCTTGATAAGAAATTTGAATTTTATTCTGAGAGCAATATAATTGCTTCAAGGGTTTTAAGCAGGGCCACTGCATATGATTTACAGTTTAAAAAGATGATTCTTCATCTGTATGCACCAATCCAGTTAAACCTACACTGATGAAGGTCACTATTGACCATGCAATATTAAGCTGAGTTTGATGGAATTTTATTGTTTATTCAGTGGAGCAAAATTTGACCCATAGCTCAGCAATTCTTAAGTTGCCAACTGCACATTTACCTCCTTTCCCCCTTCTTGTAAGAGACTGTATAAAGCTAGAGCTAATGCACTTTTTTGGATGCTGCTTCTGCCAGAAATCTTTGCCAGGGATATTAGAAATGCTACCTGGTGCTTTATGTCCTTTGGCTTCTCTTCCATTGCCAAGGTAAACACTATGCTAATGCCAATAGGAAAAAGCTTAAGAAGATTTTACAGTTATTAGAGATTGCATACCCCTTGGTAATTATTACCAGCTTAATTTGAACTATATGAAATTAGCAAAACATGAGAAATCTAGAATAGCATTTTTATACTAAAGAGAAATACCACACATTGTGATCATCCATTGAACATGAAAATTAATTAAATTAGACTAAGTAAGAAGATAGATTTTGAGACAAAATACTATTTTTCTGTGTTAGGTTAGGTTATAAGAGAAATTGTAGAAATCTCTAACAATAGAATGAATTTGGTTTTACTAATTTTACTGAAGGTCAGTTAACAGATTAAGTTTTGTCTAAATTACCTTCCCAGCTTAATTCCAAAAGGCTCTTTGTGTAAATATATATTTGCACTTAAGCTGCAGAGTTTTTACTAGATGCTTTAACTTTCAGACTACTAAATATATTGAAGTTAAGAGATGAAGAAATTAAAGTTACATCGTGTAGTTAAAATGTTATTTTTAAAATTTCACTGAATGAATTCTGTTTGATCAATGTCAAATGTTTGACTGATGCATCTCCAGATAAGTTTCAAAATTTGCATCATAACTGTAATTCATCTACCATTGGGACAATAATGGCTAGGAGGATAGACAGCTTATTAAGTAAAATGTTGGTACTAGTTTTAATAATCTTGGCATTCCTTCTTTTTACTTTCTTGATATTACCTCCACATTAATCCAGATTTCACTTTAAAGGTTATTTTTATGCTTTTAAATATATAATTTAGATTTAGTCTTTGAACATTTTAACATTGATTGAAATAGCCTTGCTAGAATGGAGGTGGTAAATTTTTTATTTAGAGATGTAGAGAAATATCTACTTCTGTTGGACTAGACATTGTAAACATTCTTCCACCAAAAGCATCTAGAAATTATGAGAGGAATATCTTCAAAACAAAAGGAAAAATGAAACTGAGTGATAAGCTAGCACTAAAGCCCTGACTTCCCTGGAGGTGTCTGACAATACCAGAAACAGAGGCCAGGCTTTTGACAGCCTCATAAAGGAATAGGAGATAAGCCCTTTTATCTAGTAAGATGGGCAAAGACCTAAAACTCATGCATAAGACTAGTATACTTATGGGGCTAGGCTTGTGGTGATAAGTCGAACTAGAAGAAAACCAAAAGCAAACTTTTAAAATCATAGTCCTTGGCTTCAGGTGGGGAAAGTATCCCTTGAGAATTCAGAATTACAAGCTTATTGGAACGTAAGTTCAGGATTTGAACTTAAAACACCTGCAGAGTTCCAGCAAGGATATACTGACAATTTAATTTATATGCTTCCAGGTGGGTAGCACAGCAGGTTGGTAGAGCACCTACCAGAGAAAACTCATATCCGTGGGGAGAAAAGCATTCTTACGTTTTCTTCAAATTAAGTTCAGCAAAATAAAAGCTCACACATACAAGGAAACAGATCACAGTGAGCAGAGTCAACAAAAACAATAAACCATGAATTAGAGGAACCACACAGGACCTGAAATGTTGATATTATCTATGAATATTATAAAATAAATGTGCTTAGTATGTTCCTCTAGATTAAAAAAATATATTTTAAACATGACAAAAGACTAAGAGTACATTTTTAAATTACATAGGCTTGGAAGAGAACTACATAGAGTTTACAGAAATAAAAATATATTTATTTAAATTAAAGATCAGGAGTGGGTTAAAATCATATCAAACACAACAGAAGAGAAATTAATAAACTATACCTGAAGAATTATGCAGAATTTAACATAGAGAGATTAAGAAAATATAAAGGACAGGTTAAGAGATAGGGAAAACACAATGAAAAGGTCTGCCATAAATGTAATTGGAGTTCCAGAATAAAAAAATAGAAGAAGGAAAGAAAATATTTTTAAAATATCAGATGATAATTTTTCACAACTGAGGAAAGACAAAGATTCTTAGATTTAGGAAACACAAAAATCCTAAACAGAATAAATAAAAACCAACCTTAACTCAGTCACATTGTAATTAAAGTGAAAATCACAGCGACAAGAGAAGATTAAAAGCATCTGGTTAAAACAGACAATGTACTTTCAAAGGAATGCAACTTAGAGTGATGTCACAGCAGCAAAAATGATAACCCGGAAAACATCTTTAGTGTGCTGGGAGAAAATAAAAGTTAATCTAAAACTGTAAACCTAGTTAAACTATCTCTCAAGAATGAAAATACAGATTTTCAGGCAAACACAAATTGGGGGAGTTAATCTCTCACTGACTTCACTAAAGGAATTTCAAAAGGATATAGTACTTAAGGCAAAAGTAGAACAATCCAAGACAGAAGGTTTAAAATTCAAGAAAAAAATCCTATGTGAAAAAATGGGTAAATATGAGGGTAAATATAAATCAATTATAAAAAAGTAATATTTATTACGTGGTAAAATGTGGAAAAATTATTGTATAATGATAACTTTTAAAATGGAAGAGTAGTTATGGGTTGAATTGTGACCCTCTCCAAAAATTGGAGTCCTAACCCCTGTTGTACCTCAGAATGACACTTTATTTGGAGATAGAGTCTTTACTGAGGTAATCAATTTAAAATGAAGATCGTTAGGGTGGATCCTAATTTAATATCACGGATGCTCTTACAAAATAGGGGGAATTGTTTTTTGTTGTTGTTGTTTCGAGTCAAGGTCTCCCTATGTCCCCCACCTGGAGTACAGTGGTGCGATCTCTGCTCACTGCAACCTCCACTTCCCTGGCTCAAGTGATTCTCTCACCTCAGCCTCCTGAGTAGCTGGGACTACAGGTGTGAGCCACCATCCCTGGCTATTTTTTGCATTTTTTTGTAGGGGTTCTCCGTATGTTGCCCAGGCTGGTCTTGAACTCCAGGCCTCAAACGATTTGCCCTCCTCGGCCTCCCAAAGTGATATAGGGATTACAGGTGTGAGCCACCATACCCAGCCAAATGGGGGGAATTTGGACCCAAGGAGAAGATACACACATGTAGGGAGGACATCATGTGACAATGAAGGCAGAGACACAGGCGATGATTCTACAAGCCAAAGAATGCCAAAGACTGCCAGCAATCCAGAAGCTAGGGAGAGGCCTGGATCAGATACTTTCTTACAACTCTCAGAATGAACCAACCCTGCTGACCTTGGTTTTGGACTCCTAACCTTCAGAACTGTGAATCAACCTATTTCTATTGTTTAGGCCACCCTGCTTATATTACTTTGTTATGGCAGCCCTAGCAAGCTAATAGAGGATTGTTCATGGTTAAACTTTTAATATCTTTCTATTATTTACAAAGATAAGACTATATGTTTTGGGTAAACCAAATATGTTAAAATTTTCTGGGAAGTCAGTTAAAAAATGGAAATAAAACATATATATTCCACCAAAGTAGAGAATAAATGAAATAAAAAGATGAACCCCCATCAGAAATATGGCAGATTACACCTCTGGGGCAGGAAAAGTACAGGATAATCCAGGAACATCTTCATACCAGAAAGTAAGGAAGCTCTCAGAAACTCTACTCAGGGGCTCATAAAGTCATTTGATTAAGCTGCTCTGGCCAAAGATGGGAAATGTCATGCCTCAATAAGGATAACAACTGCAATGCATTAAAACATATCAGATAAATATAAATCCAGAAGTTTGATTTGATACTAATTATTTATGATTTATAGAAATAAATAAACTCATTGGCTACAGCCTTTGCAGGGTCTAGAAACTATCTCAATATTTTGAAAATAAATTTAAAAAGAAAGAAGAATAAGTTCTTTATTTCCTAAAAGTGTTCCTGAGGCTTCAGACTATGAAAATAATTATTGTGAGAGTTTCTCTTTGTATACCTATTCCAGGAAATAAATGTACAAGAAGTTGTCCAAATTGACCTATCATCACTTTTAAAAACTCCTGATGAATGCCTGGGTCTAGGTAATGATCACCAATGGCCCAGCTTCAGCAATTACCAATATATGACCAATTATTCTTTATCTAGATCTTTACTTATTTCCTCCTAAACAATCCCATCTCTACCACCACCAGGTCACAGATTATTTTGAAATGGTCTTCTTTTAGGACAACCTCAATGCCATCATTACATTTTTAAAAATTAAAAGTGAATCTTCAATAAAAGATATTCAATAAATGTTCCCATTTCCCTGACAACTTAATTCCTTTAACTTAAAAAAAATTCAAATAAGGGTTCTATTTCACAGTTACATTTCAAAATGGCTAAAGGAGAAGAATTTGAATGTTCCTAGCATAAAGAAAAGATAAATATTTAAGGTGACAGATATCCCAATTGCCCTGATTTGATTATATGAATATGTCAAATTATGACATGTAAGCAGAAAATTGTATAACTGTTATGTATAAATAAAAAAAACAAAAATAGATAAAAGAATAGTCAAAGGGGCCCCATGTAATTCAAGCCCAATTATTTTATTTTTTAAAAGACTCAATCAATCATAAATAGTCTGAAAAGATGAAAGAAGGTAAAATTTCAGGGAAATGAAAAATAAGATAGAAATATTCAGATTTATCGATAGTAAAAACCCAGTTTTAAAATTTATGTGGAAGAAAAATAAGCCCAAGATTATAAAGGCAATTTGAAAACAAAGGGAGGAGAAAGAAAAAGGAAGTAATCTACCAATACAGAAACCATAAAAAAGAGAGAAATCAGATGTTATATATGTCCTGGTAGAAGTGCAAAATACCACATACAAGATAGTCTTGCCAAAAAAAAATTGAGCCTTAATTTGATTGAGGTTCTTTTAGTTTATAAAACAAAAATAATTAAGGAAGTATGGAATTGGTATAGGGACAGACAAAACAGTGGAACAGGATAAATGAAGAAAGGTACTCATATATGTTAATATATGATGAAGATGCCATTGTGGATAAAGTAATGATGAATTATTCAAAAAAAATGAGCTATTTAGGAAATTATCAACTTTTGAAAAATAAAATCAGATTTCAGATCCCTATTCCATATCACATACAAAAATAAACTTCAAATGGATTAAAAATATATAATCTAACATATGCGATATTATGTTATAATGTAGTTAACATAATGTAACATAACATAATACCGATATATCTATATATCTATTTATATATATAAAATGAATTCTGGGTAGAAAAGGATTTCTTTCTTTCTTTTTTTTTTTTTTTTTTTGAGATGGAGTTTCATTCTTGTTGCCCAGGCTGGAGTACAATGGCATGATTTTGGCTCACTGCAACCTCCACCTGCTGGGTTCAAGCGATTCTCCTGCCTCAGCCTCCCGAGTAGCTGGGATTACAGGCACCCACCACCACATCCAGCTAATTTTTTGTATTTTTAGTAGAGACAGGTTTCACTATGTTGGCCAGTCTGTGAACTCCTGACCTCAGGTGATCCGCCCACCTCGGCCTCCCAAAGGCCTGGGTTTACAGGTGTGAGGCACCGCGCCTGGCCCAGAAAAGGATTTCTTAGATAAGACTTAAAAGACACAAACCCAAAAGAAGAAAGATTAATTAGATTTGACATTTGTATCTTTTATCAAAGTAAAAAGGGATTATATTTACAACACATATTAATGATAACTGAATCAATAAAGTTGATCTCAATCAATTTAAAAAGGTGAATTGCATATAAGTAAAATTGTCAAAGGAGATGAACCAGAAACTCACAGAAGGCAAATCTAAATGGCCAGTAAACATAAAATGAAAACTTCAAAAATAATTAGGGAAATTCAAAATAAAATAATAAGATACCATTCACATATATCCAATCAGGGAAAATAGAGGAGGGCTGCAATTCCAAGTACTGGTGAGAAAGCTGAGCAATACTAATCAACAAATCTGCTTCCAAGTGTATACCTAGAACAGAAACTCTATTACATATACAACAGACATGTACAAGAACATGTATAGCATCATTGTTTGTAAGAACAAACTATTGGAAATAAACACCCATCATAAGCAAAACTGATAAAGAAAAATTGTGTATAATCACAACAGACTACTATGTAGCAATGAAAATTAATACAAGGGTCAACATGGACGAATCTCATAATGTTAAGGAAAGAAACAAAATCAAGGAAAAAATATACATCATGATAATAGTTATATCAAGTTTAAATATTTCCACAAATATATTAACTAAATTGCTAAATACAAAATTTAGCCAAAAATTATTAAATATAAAATTCACAGTAGTAGTTATTGGTTGGGGAGAAGTGGGCGTGTTCATAACAGGCCTTAAGTAGATTGGTAATATTTTGTTTCTTAATATGGGTGGTGGGTATATGGGTATCTATTATACTATAAACTTTTATATGTATTAAGTATTCTATGATTAATAAAAATATTAAGAAGCATGGGTAGAAAAACATGAATATAGTCACTGAGTTTCTTAAAAGTGCTGGATACTATGCTAGACACTGGAAAGGAATATAATGCTGAATGAGAAAGACATAGTTCTTAGCTTTACAGACCTTGGAATCTATCTGGGAAAACAGACATTGAACAAAGAGTTGCCACCATTCCAGATGTCTTGCTATTTCCCAAACACATGATTTTTTAACGAATTATTCTTTTTTCTATACCCTGCCTGTACTTCTCTTGACCCTTCTTCTGCTGTGCAGGTCTCTGTGACTGTGCAATTTTCCCTGATGACCCCTGCAGGATTGATCTTGCCTTCTTTCTGATATCGCTGTGCCTTTCCTTTTAATCTCTAGATGCAGTAATCAGTTTTCCTTTCTGTCTCTGCCAACTATCTGTGAGCTCCTTGAAAATAAGGACCACTTACTGTCTATCCACCATCATGGCACATGGTAGGTAACATATATATGTTTAATAGCTGTGTTGACATGTAAAAAGTGAAGTACTAAGGCACTTATATGGATAACACAAGTTTCAAATAAAAGCACAATACAGAAGTCCTTTGCCTCAAAAAGTCAGATACTGTTGAACAAAAACTTATTTTAACATAGCAAATATAAATACAATTGTAGTCACCACTAAAGGTGATTTTTTACTTGCAACAAGAAATAACTTACTTTAGCCCATTCTCTTTTTGGAGTTTTCTTTGTCAAAATATTGACTTTCCCTTGTGTATAGAACTCCATTTATATGCCATCAAAATAAGTAGGTTAATGGGGAATTCAGGAAATTTTGATTAAAACATTATCATTCAAGGACTTTTTTTTCTACCTTTGATTTATGCAGAATTTTGTTTATTATTGGCCACTTTGCTTGGAAAAAATACTTTTTTATATAAGTATGTCCATAAGAAAAACACTAATTTTTTTTAGTTAGCATTTTTCTCCTCACATTGATACATTGTGAGGCTTCTCTGACTTGCTTTATATGTATAAGGATTGATAACTTCTTATAGCAATAATTTTTTTTACTGTAAATTTGGTTACTACTTCAGATAATGTGCTACCTTAGTGTAGCATAACTTTTTTCCCAAACTACTTCCAAGGATTAAGTCTTACTAAATACAATTTTCAGAAAAATCTTTTAATAATTATCCTGGGGCATCTGTGATTAAAAAGACCCCCATATGTTATTATTAAATTCACTTGTATGCAGAAGCAACTTGAAATTGAGATGACAGTTTTGCTATTACATGAATTTGGCCAGAACATACTATAATAACTATATTCTCTGCTGCCCTGTCACTAAAAATTTTTTCAAGATTTTCTACACCAAAGAATTTCTAATCACATACACATTTAAGAAAGTACTACATTAGAACAAATACCTAATGCATGTTTTTTACAATCATAAAAACACAGATGAATTTAGTTTTCCATTATCCTGCCAGTGACTGGAACCTGGCTTTTGCCCTGAGACTTGATCTCACAAAGACATATCCTCTTCCTATTTCCAGGACTTCTGTGGCTTTTATTAGACCACCCCATCAACACAGAGAGAAGACAGCCATTTGCTACATATAATTCAAAAGAATTTCTTCAAGACTTTTTTGAGGTAATATCAGAAAGTTTCCTTGATCTCTGCATTAAAAGAAAATTGGATCTTAAAGTTAACTCTACAGAAATGCACCCTTTGGAGTATCACAAATAAAACAGGTTTTCTGCCTGGGGACAGTTGTCTATTGCCCTAGCAGGTTGCACTTACTATACTATGGAAAATGAAACACTACTACATTTATCTGTCTGAAAAATTGCCCCAAGAAGGATGTTTACTATCTCCACTATTATTTCATGTTGAATTGGGAGTGTTGGACATTGTATTCAGATAAGACAAAACAAACAGGGGCACAAGAATGGGGAAAAATAAAGGAATAAAACTATGTCTATTTGCTACTGATGAGATAATATTCTTGGGAAACCTGAGATAGTCAGTAATAAAATGAACATATACATAAATTTGGTAAGGATACAATTTTATTATATGAAAATCAATAATCTCATATATACAAACAATAACCAGTTAGAAGACATAATGGAAGAAAAACCCCATTTACAACAACAAAAATATAAAATAGGAATAAACTTAAAAAGAAATGTGAAAAATCTACAAGGGAAACTTTAAATACACCTGAAAAGGGACAAAAGCAGATTTTAATTAAAAGAAATTCTTGTGTGTGTGTGTTTGTGTGTGTGTGTGTATGTGTGTGTGTGTTTTGAGATGATGTTTCACTCTGTCACCCAGGATGGAGGACAGTGGCAAGATCATGGCTCACTGCAGCCTCAAACTCCTGGGCTCAAACAGTCCTCTTGCCTGAGCCGCCGTTGGGACTACAGGCATGTGTGACCACAGGCACGTGCAACCCTGCCTGGCTAATTTTTTGAATTTTTTTTGAGAGACAGGGTCTCACTTTGTTGCCCAGGCTGGTCTTGAACTCCTGTGCTCAGGCAATCCTCCTACCTTCTCCTAAAGTCCTGGAGATTACAGGCATGAGCCAGTGTTTCCGGCTGAAATTCTTTATTCTTACATAGAATGACTCAACATAAAAAAGTTAATTCTCCCCAAGTGAATATATAAATTAAATGTGATCTAACAAAAATCCAACAAGTTTTATTTCTAGAGCTGTATAAGTTGATTCTAAGGTTCATATTGTAAAATAAACAAAAAAGTAGCTAGGAAAATTTATTCTGAATAACGTTTTACCAATTACCAAAGTTATACAAACTTCTGTACTTAAAATAGAGGGTACAGGTGCATACAGAGACACATTAGTAAAAAAAAAAGTATTATAGCAATTTCAGAAAGAGAAACAAGCACATATAAAAATGTAATATATGATAAAGATGGTGTCTCAAATCACTGAGCAAACACAGGCTTTTTTTGTTTTTATTTTACTTTAAGTTCTGGGATACATGTGCAGAACGTGCAGGTTTGCTACACAGGTAGACATGTGCCATAGCGGTTTGCTGCACCTATCAACCCATCATCTAGGTTTTAAGCCCTGCATGCATTAGGTATTTGTTCTAATGCTCTCCCTCCCCTTGCCCCCAACCCCCCAACAGGCCCTGGCGTGTGATGTTCCCCTCCCTGTGTCCATGTGTTCTCATTGTTCAAAAACACAGGCTTTTTAATAAATTATGTTAGAACAACTGGAAAATCACCCTTACTTTACATCATAGACGAGAGCAAACTCTAAATGGGGCAGACATCTAATGTCAAATATGAAACAATATGCTATGGTTTGAATATGTCACTTCCAAAACTCAGGTGTTGCCAATGTGATAGCATTAAGTGAGGCCTTTAAGAGAATATTAGACCATGAGGGCATTTCTTTTAACAATGGGATTAAGGCTTTATAAAAGAGGCTTTGCACAGCATTTGGCTTACTTGCCCTTTCATTTCTTCCACCATGTGAGGATACAGCACATCTCCCCTTTGGAGGATGCACCAACACAGTGCCATCATGGAAGGAGAGATAGGGCCCCTTATCAGACACCAAGACTGCTGGGACCTTGATCTTGGACTCTCAGCCTCCAGAACTGTAAGAAATAAACTTTTTGTTCTTTATAAATTACCCAGTCTCAGGTATTTTGTTCTAGCAGCACACACTGACTAAGATACCACACAAGGACTGGAAGAGAACTGGTGAAGTTTTTTAGTAAGCTATGGATAAGTTATGACTCAAGTTCCAGATACAATAAAAGACTGATACACTCAAGTACATTAACAAAAAAACAACAACCTCTGAATGACTTAAAACACCATAAACAAAGTCAAATGACAAATGGTAGATGGGGACAAAATATTGGCTATGTTTATCTGTCTCAAAAATTTCCCTAAAAAGGATGTGCACCATCTCCACTATCATTCCATGTTGCATTTATCATAGATAAACACAGGACTTGTAGCTCTAACATACAAAAATTTCTTAAATAGATTTTTCAAAATCTATTTAAGAAATGAGCAAAGGACACAACCAGTTCACAGAAAAAAGGCCCTCAAATATATAACAAGTTTTATAACTTCTTTCATAATAAGATAAATACAAATGGAAACTTCAATGAGATACCATTTCTCGCCTATTAGAATTAAAAAATTCAAAAGCTCGATAACACATTTTGTATACAGGGCTATGAAAAACAGGTTCCCAAATATTGTGGATGAGAACGCAAAATGCTACAGTCTCTATGCAGGGAAGTTGGCTTTATCTAACAAAATTACACATGTGTTTATCCTTGGCACAGCAGCAATTCCCACTTGTGGGAATTAACCTGAAGATACACTTGCTCGAATGTGAGGGAAAAAACTAACAACATATGCACAAGGTTATTCACTGAAACATTATTTGTAACAGCAAAGTATTGGCAACAACCCAAATGTTCAATCACAGGAAACTGGTAGAATAAATTACGATGAATTCACACATGGAATACTAGTCACAATAAAAATAAAAAAGATTAAGAAAGACCTCAATTGATATGAAGTGATTTCCAGGATACACAATAATTTGGAAAAAAATCACCTAAGTATATGTAGTATACTACCTTTTGTGTAAGAAAGGGAAATGAGATGATATTTATGCATTAGATAGGTAGAAAGATATATAAGTAACAGATAGGCACATGCGCGCATGTGTGTGTGTGTGTGTGTGTGTGTGTGTGTGTGTATTATAAAATAGCAATACAGGAAGGATAAACCAAAAATGAATATGTTTTTACCATAGAAAGAAAGTGGGTGGGAACAGGGTGGAAGTGATAGCATTGGCAGTGAGACTCCTTGGTATGTACTTTTTATATCGTTTTTACTTTTGAATGCTGTAAATGCTTTGCACATTCAGAAACAAAATTAAATTAAAAATAATGCGAAAAGATAATCCTGTAATTGGATATAAATGCAAACGAATGAGCCCATTTGTATAGAAAATTAATAACAATCACACAAAAAAATAAGTTTATTTAAGTATAATTTGAACGTCGTACCCTGACTGTATATCATTAATGTATTTTTCTAAGTATGAGAAAAACTGCAAAGAAATCTTGAATTTTATTGCGAGGTTCCCCCCCACCACCCCTGAGACAGAGTCTTGCTCTGTCATCCAGGCTGTAGTATTGTGGTGCGATCTCGGCTCACTGCAACCTCCGCCTCCTGAGTTCGAGCAATTCTCCTGCCTCGGCCTCCAGAGTAGCTGGGATTACAGACGCCCGCCACCACGTCCAGCTAATTTTTGTAGTAGAAACAGGGTTTCTATTTTTTAGTAGAAACAGGGTTTCACCATGTTAGCCAGGCTGGTCTTGAACTCCTGACCTCATGATCTGCCCACCTTGGCCTCCCAGAGTGCTGGGATTACAGGCATGAGCCATCGCTTTCGGCTAAGTTTTGTTGTTGATAAGGCTATTGATGTAATCATACTGGACCTATTTTGTATGTACTGTAGAAAAGACAAATTAGGAAATATATTTACGTTGTTGGGAACCAATGTTTTCACTGCAAGACATAGGAGTTACTAATGTGAAATGGAAGAAGGTATTGGATTTGAATTGTAGCTATCAGTGTGAACTTCAGACGTATATGTATTTCTAAATATGTTCCCCACTAAAAAAGAAAAAATATCAGAGTTCTTTCAGAAATGGCTGGTTCCAGGAAGGGATCAAGAAAGTACAAGGTAAAGCTTGGACATCTTTTGCCAGAAGCATGGGGACATAAAAAGACTCAAGAGCTGTCTGAATGGAATCCCACTTGCCATGTTTGGGATAATTTGAACATCAAAAAGAATAATATAGGTAATGGATTACAACCTAGTAAATAAAAGAACCCACAAGTCCAAAAATGATACTCACTAAAAAGGCAGATGGATATGAAAAGTACTTCTTCACAAAAGAATGCCAATTAATGAATATATAAATAATAGAATTAGAAATCCCCCTTTTCCAAACACTCACCATAATCATTTATTCAGGCAAAAATTCTCAATGGACGGTAAAACCATTGAGTGAGAAATTGTTGGGGCATAAGATATTCACATGGTCCCCTCAAAGTATTATCCCACAGATGACATTAATTTCAAAGTGTAAAAGATTCCTTTACAATGTTGAGATCTTGGAAACACCACCATAAATGAGTGATCAGTGTTAGCATTATCAATAATGGGACAAACTGACATCCTATACCTCTGAATGAGAAGCAGTGGGAAGTATACTTATGTAGTATTGCCAAAAATGGTGAACATGAATGTAATCGTGATAAAACAGTCCAGTTGAAATTTGGGGCACTAAATAAGACAACTGGCCTTAATTGGTTAAAAAGAAAAGTCAATGTCAAGAAAGGCAAACAAATACCTAGAGGGATATCTTTTCAGAGACGAAGGAAACGTGAACATTACTGCAAGGAGTGACTCTTGATTAGATCCTGGAAAAATAAAACAGGAATAAGAGACATTAGAATAACTGAAGACATTTGAATATAGATTTTAATTTGATGGCATTAGGGCATCAATGTGAACTGCCTTGTGTGTAATAATCTCATGGTATTGTGGTTAGAGAGATATTGTGGTTAGGAAGAAAAACGTATTTGTTTTTAGGTGACACATACTAAAGTACCCAGTGCAGAAGTATTATGATGTCTGCAACTTATATTCAAATGGTTCTGTAGGAAAAAGCAAAACAAAACGTAGAAAGTAAAAGGGAAATGACAAACAGGCAAAATGCTAACAACGGGTGAATCTAGGTGGAGAATATATAGATATTAACTGTACTATGCTTTAGACATTTTTTTTTGTTGGTTTGACTTCTTAAAAATAAAAAGTTGAGGAAAAACAAACCATACTGCAAAAAATTTTTTTTCTTGAGGTGGTTTCTACTCTATTGAGCATCTTAAGACAATTGTACATCATTCACATTCAAGTAGTTTATAGCAATTTTCCTTCGCAGATTGCAATCAGATTGATCAAATAACAGGAGTAGAAATGTTTATAACCACAGCAATAGCCTCTTCAAGTTTAAACATGTGATTCTAACCAAGGAGGGAAAGCGGTGTGGTAGAATTTCCCTAAAATCACAGAGGCTTTGTGTCATGCTTCCTAAATAAAAGGATTAATATTGTCAAGAAGACTGTGGAAAAGATAATTTTTAAAAAGAGATGACTCTTACTTTGGAAAAATATTTTGAGCGGATCAAGCTCTTTTCAGTGTGCCTTAAAACAAAATACCTGTATTTCGACTCTTTTCTTGTAAGGCAGCCATTGATTTAAGTATCCTTGTCTCACTGACTCACATTATTTCTTATCCATCAGGTGAATTAAAGATGACCAGGTTAGTAGTTTGCACTTCAGAAAATCATGAGCTGCTCCATGGCAATTTATGGTCTCTGGATAGCTTGTGTTGCTAGCCTTTCTCTCTTTCTTTCTTTCTTTCTTTCTTTCTTTCTTTCTTTCTTTCTTTCTTTCTTTCTTTCTTTCTTTCTTTCTTTCTTTCTTTTCTTTCTTTCTTTCTTTCTTTTTTTGATGGAGTCTTGCTCCGTCGCCCAGGCTGGAGTACAGTGGTGTGACCTCGGCTCACTGAAACCTCTGCTTCCGGGTTCAAGTGATTCTCCTGCCTCAGCCTCCAAGTAGCTGGGACTGCAGGCATGCGCCACCAAGCCCAGCTAATTTTTGTATTTTTAATAGAGACGGGGCTTCACCATGTTGGCCAGGCTGGTCTCAAACTCCTGACTTCAAGTGATCTGCCTGCCTGAGCCTCCCAAAGTGTTGAGATTACAGGTGTGAGCCACCACGCCCAGCCACCTAGCCTTATTTCTTTAGAGGTTTTCCTTAAATGTGCTCATTACTTCTCCAAATGGCAAACATGTGACTTGGAGTATCAAAACCTATCTAAGTCTATGCAATTTGTGACCAGAGACAAATTTATGTGTGGGGAAAAGAAATGAGTCATCCTTTTGTAATTAGTGACCACCAGCCTGGCCACGAAAACTACCAGGACACAGACCTACACTTCAAAACTTTTTCCTATGTTGATCTTCTGAGAATCAATTTTTATTACCTCCCTTATGAGAAATTAGACAAAATGCAAAGCATCATTATCTTAGAGCAATTATTTTTACTCTGTTAAAGCTAAGAGCTTCCATTGTCGTGAATAACATACAGTCCCAAAGCATGGTGGGTGATGAGAAGAAAGTCTTCAATTCTCCCATTTAATTTTGTCCAGTATTTTGCCTACCTCCAAATTAGAATGTCTGTCCAGGCTAGCAGAGCTGTATGGTCACCAAGGGGACTCAGATTTTTGGGAGTCTGACATTTATTTATTTATTTGTTTGTTTTCATAACCAACTTCAAGAAAAATAATTCAAAAGTTATAAAAAGAAAGTCAGGTACAAATATAAATGTTTATTTAGAATGCGAAAGAAATCACATCTAAGTATAACTTTTAAAAGCTAACAAATACCACAAATAGAAGAATCCTGAAAAATTATATATATTTATATATAATGTTTATATTATAATGTGTATATATAGTACACATGTATATCTACATACATATATATGTATATTTGTATATATACACATATATAATATGTAATACACATTATATATGTATGTGTGTGTGTGTGTGTGTGTATATATATATATATAAAATTACTTAACTCCCTAATACATCTTTTCATTTTTTGGCTGTAATCTATCAATCAACTTTTCATGAGACATCAATTTTTATAATATTTGTAATAAAGACAGTAGTGAGGTAATTTAGTCTTTCCTCAAGCATGTCTGATTGAACTTTATAGAATGCAATTACTTAGAAACTTTCTGCCTTTATAACTTGTTTTGGGTAATGTCCTGAAATTTTAAGCATTGTTGCCAAATTTGGAAAAATCTCTAATGTTTCTTTCATATACAAATTATGAGATTTTAGGCCATTATTGAGTACATGTTTTGGTGGGAGAGAACTTTTGTTTTGATTGAGAATCAGTAAAAGCCTAACTCTCACAATTTTAGATATCTGATTATTGGAAGATGAAATTATGTTTCCAGGTATTTCAAGCCTCATTCCTCATTTATCTTTCACTGCTTACATGTTCTGAAAGTAGGAATTGTAGGCACCTTTGTGTAATATGCAAGATGAACAGTCATAGGAGATGGTAGAAGTTTTTCTGGAAGCAAACTATGCAGTGGCAACCAATCTAACTATACATGGAGTTGGCTGTGAACCATGTAAGTATATTATGCTGGACCCAGCACTTCTCCATGGCTGCTCTGGGACCTTCTGCCAGAGGAGGAGTATGATGCAGGAGAAGTCGTGGTAGAAGATGACAATAGCATTACCCAATTGCAATAAGAATATCTTACTTTAGCAAATTTTACAAAAGCGTATGAACATGTGAACACTTTACTAGGAATTAATCTTCTTCATTAGTTTCAGAGTAAACCCATTTCTGGCCATGATTACAATAGGAGAGCTGTCCTTGTCCAAGTCTTTAGTATTTGCGGAGGAGCCAAAAAATACAGGGACCATGCTTTGTGGCCCTCTCCATTCATCCATGCCATGAACATCTGTGTAGGAGTAAGAGGAAGCAATATATTTTACTCTTCTGTTGGTGCATCTTCATTTGAGTTTGCCCACATGGATACGTAGGAATGAATGAAATTAGCAAGCTTTTTTGGGGTGCAGTGGTAGTCGGTATATAGCCTAATGGAATATTGTGAAATTTTTAATTATATGATCACTGGGATGCCTCATAACTGTACAGAAAAATATTTCAAATAACATTTTCAAATGTAATAAGTTTAATATTCCAGCAAATACTGAATATTAGGTGAAAGGGATGAATTATGACCTGAAAGGAAAATGGGAAGTATATATAAATATCCACAAAGGCAAAAAGATATTAGCGTAACATTACAAAATCCAACCAGAATATTTGAAAAAAAAAAAAATAAGGGTAAATACCACTCTGCATTTTCCCTTCTCCTAGGGAAGAAGTTATTTATGTAGAGTAGAAGATATGATAGGATATTTCCTTTTTGAAGGTGGTGGCAGGTGGCTGCCTGTTGGAGTGTGAAAAACAAGTAGAATCATTTGGATGCAATTCTGAAAATATTAATCAAATGACAAAATACAAGCAGGGAATAATTTTCCCTACCTCTTGGGATTTTTTTGTGGAGAAACTTAGGAAGCTATTGGAATAATGGAAGGTGATAAACTATGTCTCTAAGAAATAATAACTACCAACATAAAATGAGATGAATTATTTGATAATATAGACTGTGAAAAGATGCCTTTCAAAACATATTCAATACAGATTTCTTCTTTAGCAGTTAGTTACTGTGATTTAAAATTTTTACACATCTTCAGAAGCTCACTGTATGCAATATTGCAATATATATTTGTATTATTGCCCAAAGAAACTGACAAGGACTAATTTTTTAGTTGACATTAGTTGAGTCTAGTAACCTTTTTGATTTTCTGTGCAGAGGGGCGTGTCTGTGTGTCTGTGTAACTGTGTGTCTGAGCTTTCATACCAATAGATTGAGAATCTAAAAGCTTATGTTTCATTTCTACCTGTCACCAACTAGTTCTTTAATTTTAGAAAAATTCCTTAAATTAAGCCTTAGTTTTATCATTTGTATAGTGAAGACTGGGACATACAATATCTAAGATTTCTTTACATTCGAACATTCTATGATTCTATGTATGTTTGTTGAATACTAGCATTCCTTTATTCAGGAAATGGATTAAACAAAACCTAGGCTATTGAAAATGAAAATATGATTAAGATTACTGATTCCATAACTAAAGTAACTAGGTAATGAGTATTAATGGCCCTAAGATTACTTGAGGCTTCCACCTAATGCTGTCATCTCTCCATCAGCCGTAATTTTTTGCCTTTTTTCTCTCCTCAGTCTCAGCAGATGATCTTATCTCCTGCTACATCTAGAAAATGGAAGCCATCAGACTCCATCTTCTCACCACTGAGGCTACAAAAGATATCTACACCTGCAACCCTTTCCCTTTTTTTCTTCTTCCCTTTTGTTATGATGTATAAAGTGTCCCTTATCCAATAAAGAGCTAATCATTCTGCTTGGGGTTGTAGCCCCTTCCCTCTTACTTCAAGGACTTCAATGCTCCCTTCTCCTGGAAATAGCCTCCTCCCTCAGCTTCCCTGAAGCCACACCCTGCTGAATTTTTACCTACTAAATTATCCCTGCTCTCTCTTCTTACTTCGTTTCCAGGATTCCCTCTCTGTCTCAGATCTATCAGTGTTGGAGGCCATCTGTGCTTGGTCCAAGGTTCTCTTCTGCCTTTTCTCAGTCCTCACTTCTAGGTGCTCTCATACATTCTCACAGCTTTATATCCTTTCTATTTGCTGACAAATGTCAAATATATATGTTCAGCGTGACTGCATATGCAAATAACTGCATATATGCAAATGACTACATGACTATTACTTGTATGTTTCTCAAATATTCAAATTTAGGCTATATAAAGCCAAATTCTCAATCCTGTCTGTAACTACTTTCAACTTGGAAATAAAACATTCAATTCTCTCTCTGTCTATGGCCTCCATGCTCATGATAGCTCAGGTGAGCAACTATGGTCTTGATTCCTCTTGTTCCTACCATCAACATTCAAGCCTAGAGTACTGTTGTTTCTCCCTCCAAATTATGTCATGAACCTGCCTGTTTCTCTTCATTTCAAATGTAAGCTTCTTAGTCCACACCACTATGTTTTCTCACATGGGCTTTTGTAATAGTTTCATGGCCTCCTCCCTGCTTCCACTTTTGTTTATTTATATCTCCTGCCCTCCCAGCATTGAGAGTATACAATAAAGATGCTATTATTAGAAAAGTGATATAAAGACAATAATTATTCAGGGAATACAGAAAAGTAAGAATAACAATGTCAAAATTCTCCTGAAACCCTACCACTTGGAAATATGAGCTAAATATTGTTGTAAAAAACTATTTATGCATTTCTTAGATAGGTGGATAGATGGCAGACATTGTTTTATAAGAAAAGATACTATTTAATATTATTACATTTTACTAATAGCCACTCCTTTGAAATGTGTGTGTATGTGTGTGTGTATACATGCATATATAGTTATATACAATTTTGTCAAAATAAGGAAAATTTTATAAAGAATAAACAGCATTAAAGGGCTTGCTATAAAAAGCAACCATCGGTTACCACATCCCATCCCTTCCTGAGTATGTCATCTTAAACCCTTGATAACTTTTATTTTACATTTTTAAAATTCTAAGTTGATTAGTCATGAGGGTTTGGATTATCTACTTTAAACATTATCTACCAACTTCCTGCCATGGTAAATGAGGTTTTAGCTCACTTATACTTCACTTGACTCCCCTCTCTTCCTCTTCCCACAGCAAGTTTTACTACTTTTAATTCCTCTTGTGGTTACTTTCATACCTGCAAGACTATACGTTTTCTCCTGATTTCTTGTTCTGTTAGTTAGACACAACCTATCGTGACCCCATACCTTGTAAGGTGAAGAAGGCCCTTAATCCCTCCCCCCTTTCTCTTCCTTACCTTTGCAAGATTTGTTTTCACTTTTGTATTGGTAAGCCTCAAAAAAATTACCTTTTATCATATAACCACAGTTAGATTGTCTGTGTTTTCACTTTGTTTAGACGTTAGAAGTTGAAAAATCAGCAGGCATTGCTTACATTATCACAACTATGTGAATGTGGTTCATTGCTGAGCCAAGCAGTGATTACATAACATATAGTTTTTGCGTACAGTGCTCCTTTCCCTCAAATTTCTACTTGCCTTTTTTTTTTCTTTAGCCAATCTTTAGGTTTATGATAGCTGTTTTAAGGATACTATCAAGTTTATGAAATACCACTCTGCCCCAGCATACACCTTTTTTTAAATGTACACTTATTTTCGGACCCTACTTTAGGACTGATTTTGCTGCACAGCAGTCAGCTTGGATCTTCCCTTTCTTCTTGTCCCAGGTTAGACTTGCTGTTTCCTACATCCCATGCCTTTCCCATTTTAAATTACTTTTTTCAATGTTTCTTTCTGACCCATAAGTAACCTCATAATAAAGGATGCAGGGGAGATACATTTTATGAGTCTTTAGAGATTGGAAAATACTTTTATTCTATCATCATACTTGATGAATGATTTGGCTGGGTAAAGATGTTTAAGTTCAAAGTCAGTTTCACCAGACTTTTGAAGTTGATGCTCCTTGCATGACTTCAGTGTTGCTGTCTTTTCTCTCTGAAGCTTTCAGAATATTCTCTTTAACCTTGATATTTGCAAATCTCTCAATATTATGTTTAGGATTTTTTAAAAAATTTCACTTACTGTGCTGGACAGTTCCTGGAGCCTCAAGAAAGCTAATGTGTGCTATCATCTTTGCACAGCCATGTGCCACGTAACAATCAGTCAACAGTGGACTGCATATATGACAGTGGTGCTTTAAGATTATAATGAAGCTGAAAATTCCTATGGCCTAGTGAGTTCATGGCCATCATAATGTGGTGCAACGCATTACTCACATGTTTGTGATGATGCAGTTATAAACAGATCCCAACACCGAAAGATTTTCATCAATAGAGAAGATGCTCATGATGCATTATCTACTTACAAGCAAATCTATGCTGAAAAAGGAAACAAACCAAACAAACAACTATAGACATATTTCTGAAAAGAGTGACACCTGCTCAAGAAGAACCTCAGGTAAGTTTTCAGGAGATGTTCAAGAAGAAGACACTGTTATCACAGGAAACAACACCTCCATGTGTTTTTGTTTTGATTTGAGACAAGGTCTTGCTCTGTCACCCAGGTGTGCAGAGGCAGGATGAGGTCTCGCCACAGCCTTGACTTTCCAGGCTCAAGCGATCCTCCCACTTTAGCCCCCTAAGTAGCTGGGACTACAGGTGGACGCCACTATGCCCAGCTAACTCTTTTGTGGGTTTTTTTTTTTTTTTAATTTTTAGCAGAGACGAGGTCTCACTATGTTGCCCGGGCTGGTCTCCAGCCCCTGATACCAAGTGATCCTTCCCCCTCAGCTTCCCAAAGTGCTGAGATTACAGGTATGAGCCACTGCACCTGATATAGCTCCATGCATTTTGTTGCCCCTGAAGATCTTCCAGTGGGACAAAATGTGAAGATAGAAGACGGTGAAACTGATGATCCTGACCCTGTGTAGGCCTAGGCTAATGGGTATGTGTATGCCTTCGCTTTTAACAAAAACACTTAAAAAATTTAAAAAGCTTATAGCATGAAGATATAAAGAAAGAAATGTTTTTGTGCTACTGTACTATATTATACTAACTATACTATTTGTTCTATTTTGTACTAATATTTTTGTACAATGCATTTGTGTTTTAAGCTAGATGTTATTTCAAAAGACTCAACAGGCTGGGCTCGGTGGCTCACGCCTGTAATCCCAACACTTTGGGAGGCCAAGGCGGGTGGATCACAAGGTCAGGAGATAGAGACCATCCTGGCTAACACGGTGAAACCCCGTCTCTACTAAAAAAAAAAAATTAGCCGGGCCTGGTGGCGGGAGCCTGTAGTCCCAGCTACTCAGGGGACTGAGGCAGGAGAATGGCGTGAACCTGGGAGGCGGAGCTTGCAGTGAGCCGAGATGGCGCCACTGCACTCCAGCCTGGGCGACAGAGCAAGACTCCGACTCAAAAAAAAAAAAAAAAAAAGAGTCAACAACTTAAAAGTTTACAAAGTAAAAAATATTATTAGTTTATAAAGTAAAAAAGTTACAGTAAACTAAGATTAATTTATTACTGAAGAAAAAAGTTTTAAATAAATTTACTGGAGCCTAATTCTACGGTGTTTATGAAGTCTATGGTAGTGTGCAGTAATATCCTAGGCCTTCACATTGACTCACCACTCACTCATTGGCTCACCTGGAGCAACCCTCAGTCCTGCAAGCTCCATTCATACTAAGTGTCCTATACAAGAGTACCATTAAAAAACAAACAAACAGACAAACAAAAAAAAACCTTTTATACTGCATTTTTACTATCCCCTTTCTAAGTTTCGATAGGTTTAGATATGCAAATATTTACCATTATGTTACAATTGCCTACAGTATTTGGTTCATTAGCATGCTGTACAGGTTTGTAGCTTAGGAGCTAGGCTATATGATATGGCCTAGGTGTGTATTAGGTTATACCATCAGGTTTGTGTAAGTACACTATTCCCACAGTAAAGAGATCAATCTAAGGATGCATTTCTCAGAATGTATCCCTGTCATTAAGCAATGCATGACTATATTCTCTCACATTTAAGAATATCTATTTGTGGTATTTATACTTGAGTGGAATCTTAGTGGAATACAATATTTTTGGATCACATTTCTTTTCCTTTAGAACTTGGTAGACATTGCTTTATCATCCTGTAACCCAGAATGTTACTCCAGAGAAGATTGAGTCCAGTCTGCTTTGCTCCCAAATATAAGAGGCTTATTATTTGTCTCTGGATGGCTAAATAATTTTTTCTTATTCTTAAATTCAGTAACAACAGAATATGACTTAGGAAAAATAGGGTTGAATATGTTTGTCTTGGAATATGATATGCACTTTTGAGTTGCAGAGTGTCTTATTCTTGCATTACAGGATTATTTTTCTATTTTCTATTGGAATACTTTTTCTGAGTCATTTACTGGTTTTTCAATTCAGAGATACCTATTATCTTTATATAATGGCATATTTGTCACTTCTCTCTAGCTATTATCTTCTCTCTATTTCTACTAATCTGTTCATCTTTTTCCGTTGATTTTACTGTGCTTATCTCAAGCCTTTTCTTTGTAGAGCAATTTATTTTTCAGCCATGTCCATTAAATTTCTTTCTGCATGTAATTTGTTTATAAGTTCTGTAATGGTGTTATTTTAGTTTCAATTTGTTTCCTTATATTGTCAATTTCCATTTTTACATCATTCTGTATTGTTATCATCTTACATTTGAGCTTGTATTTTATTCATTTCATGTACTTAATAAGATTTTCTATAGCATGAATATTTCTCTGTGTTCTTTGTTGCTATAGAGTTCCTTTCATTCTTATTTTTTGTTCTGCTTACCTAGTTCTCATGTCATCCTTTTTTCATCTTGTTCATATTTTCAGTGAGCTCTGCATCTGAACTCTGTTTTTTGTTCTGGTATAGATTGAGTGAATTCCCCTTAGGTCCCTTCCCATATTAACTGAATGTGAGGGTATTTCTCTACAAGATGTAGCTTGAGAGCTTGTAATTGATTTATACTCACTTCTAAGTAGCCTGAGGGTTTAGGTGTGTATGTCTTGGAAGATAGGCAGGAGTAGGGAGAGAGCTAAGCTAGGGCTAGGTACAACCAAGTATTTCAAATATTCTATATTCTTCTAGCTTTTTCTATTTGACCTGTTTTTTCTTCTTTTTCTTTTTTATTTTTGACCTTTTTTCTTATTGAAGTGTTTAACGTATCCTACTATAGTTCTGGATTTGTCAGTTTTTGTAATCCTATCAGTTTTCTCTGCCTAGTGCGATGTTATGTTTAAGTGCATACAAGTTAAAGATTATTTTATTGGCTTGGGGATTGTTCTGTATTATTTTATAATGCACCTGAGATGGTTTGCTGTGTCCTCATCCAAATCTCACCTTGGATTGTAGTTCCCATAATCCCCACCTGTTGTGGGAGGGACCTGGTGGGAGGTAATTGAATCATGGGGCGGTTTCCCCCATGCTGCTGTTCTCATGATAGTGAGTTCTCAAGAGATCTGATGGTTTTATAAGGGGTTTTCCCTCTTTGCTGGGCGCTTCCTTCTGCTGCCGCCATGTGAAGAAGGATGTTTTTGCTTCCCCTCCCACCATAATTGTAAGTTTCCTGAGGCTTCCCCAGCTATGCAAAACTATGAGTCAATTAAACTTCTTTTCTTTATAAATTACCCAATCTTGGGTATGTCTTTATTAGTAGCATGAGAATGGACTAACACGTCATCTTACTATAAATAATAAAATAGGTTTAATAAAAGAGGTTTAATAAAAACCTCTTAGTTTTTCAAAACTTTATGTTCAAAATTTTCTTTTGGTTTGGTGTTAGGTGTGCCTTTTATTAACCAGGATACAGCAGGATTTATGTTATTATTATCCCATCTCTGCCTTTTAATAGGTGAATTTTATCCACATTGACTCTGATACATTACACTTTTGGGCTTATTTGTACCATTTCCTTTTGTGCTATCTACTTACCTTTCACTTTCTTTGCTTTTTTGCTGTGTTCTGTTGGATTGACAAAGGATTCTGCATTTTTCTTTTTCTTCCTTTTTTTCAACTCCTCTACTTTCTCCTTCTTTTCCTCCAAATCATTCTATTCTTCCTCCTTCTTTTGATTCCTCTGGAGGTTTGAAAAATATCAAGATTATTTCTATTTCTATATTGGTAACCCTAAGATTATGCCTTATTTTTCTATTTCATGTATAGCAAATACATACAGATGAGCACACTTATATGCAGAAATGTTGATTTTAATATATTTTCACAAAGTAAATACATCTGTGTGACTATAACTCAGATTAAGACATAGAACATTGCCAATACCCTGAATCGCCCTCAGTATCTCCCTTCTCTTCTTAAGGTTAACCATATCTGTCTTCTTTACCATAGATTAGCTTTGTCTGTTTTGAACTTTTCATAAATGGGATATGACATGAACTCTGCATCTGGCTGCTATTGCTCATTCTTATGTTATTAGACTCATCTATGTTATTGATTATATTGATGATTAATTTACTTTTATTATTATGAAGTATCCCATTGAACGAATGCACCACAATTTATTTATCCATTCTACTCTTGCTGGACATTTGGATTGTTTCTAGTGTTTGGGGATTACAAATAATGCTGTTTTAAACATTCTCTAATTTCATTTCATTCTTTGTACCTGCCTTTCATTGACATTTCATTTACAACTCTGTTGGGTATATACCTAGGAGTGAAATACTGGCATTACTGGGTTGTAGGCTATGCTTATGTTTAGTTTTAGTAGTTACTGCCAAATAGTTTTCTGAAGAGGTTGTACCAATTTATATTCCCATGTGTAGTGCATAAAAGCTCCAGTTGCTGCATATCCTCAATATATGGTAATACCTGTTTCTCTAGATTTTACCTATTCTGATGAGTGTGTAGCTGCATGCACACAATTTTTAATTCATTCATTACTAATGATTTTGAGCACTTTATATGGCTATCACCCATTTATGTATTGTATTTCATGTATTACCTGTTCAATATCCAAGTTTATTCCAATTTTTTAATGGATTGTCTGTCTTTTATATGGCTTCACAGAAACATTTAATATGTTTTGGATAATAATCTTTTGTCAGGTAAAAATATTGAAAGTATCTTTTCCAGTTGGTGGTCTTCTCTTCCACTATTTGTGTTAGTCTATTCTCATGCTGCTGTGAAGAAATACATGAGACTGGGCAATTTACAAAGAAAAGAGGTTTAATTGATTCACAGTTCTGCATGGCTGGGGAGGACTCAGGAAACTTACAATCATGGCAGAAGGCATCTCTTCACAGGGTGACAGGAGAGAGAATGAGTGCAAGCAGGGGAAATGCCAGACACTTATAAAACCATCAGATCTCACGAGAACTCTCACTATCACAAGAACAGCATGGAGGAAACCACCCCCATGATCCAATGACTCCCTACCGGGTCCCTCCCATGATACATGGAGATTATGGGATCTCCAATTAAAGATGAGATTTGGGTGGGGACACAGCCAAACCATATGACTATTTTACTGGGGTTTTTGATGAACAGAGGTTCTTAATTTTAATTATGTCCCTTTAATCACTATTTTTCTTTAAAAAAATTTGCCCATCTTAAGGTCATAAAGATATTCTCTCTTATCTTCTTGATGTTTAATTGTTACTTTTCAGGTAGGCATATACCTCCAACCCTGAATTGATTTTTGTGTGTCATGTGAGGTAGGATGTCAAAATGTGTTTTTTCCTCATATAGATAACCAGTTGACCCAAAATCATTATTAAAAATACCATTCTTTTTTCATTTGCATTATGCTTTATCATGAAACAAATTGTCACAAATGTTTCTATTCTTTTCCATATTTCTATTTGTCTATTTTTATGCTAATGCAAAACTGTCTTAAATATCATCACTTTGCAATACATCTTGATAACCCTTAGAGGGATTTTGTCCTTCTTCAAAATTGTCTTCTCTGGTCTTGGTCCTTTACATTTCCATATATAGATATATTCAATTGTTAATTTCCAATAAAAATATTTTTAAGCTTTTAACATACAAAGCTGTGAATTATATATTAATTATAACTATAATTTTAAAAATATCTGAAATTATCTAGTATTTTTATCCTACTCAGAAACCCAAGAACCTAAACAGGAATATATTATAGATTGAGAATCTATTTTCCAGCACCTTGTTTGTGTTGCTAAGTTATTTGGATATAATATTCTAAATTTCCAGTTTCCCATCATTATATTGAATTTATTTCTCTATTGTTTCATGGCATCTATGGTTGCTAATGAGAAGCCCACTTGATTTATTGTTTAATTACCATTTCTTGTTGTAACCTGTTTTTCTCCTTGTAGCTGGTAAAAACATGTCCAAATTCTTGATGTATTCCAGTTTTACTTTGGTAAGTCTGGGTATGAATATATTTTTGTAGATCCTTCTTGGTTTTTATAGTTCATTTTCAATTTGAGGACATATTTTTCTTCAATTTTGGAAAACTCACAGCTCTTTTCTCTCCAAATATTACTTTCTTGTGACTTTTTCCTTCCTTAAAGAAAAATAGGCAGTCCTATTTGTCTTCAGACTATCCTATATAGTTTTAGGTGACCATACAACTATTGCCTAATAAATTATATTTATATAATTATGTTTATATAACCAGAGCCCCACCTAGCCTCTGTTTTCAAACCTGGCTCCAGTCTGCTAACTTCCATGGAGCACCTTCACTTCTCCTTCCCTGATTCTCAGGGGAGATGCATTTGGGAGTTAAAAGAAGTGCCACTAATAATTATATCAGGACAACAGATGTAAATTGGAACTCTCCCAAGCATACTACCCTGTGTGATCTCTCTGCTTAGCATTCTTCCATATTTTATTCTCTATGCTGTCTTCTGGGTAAATCCCTCAGTAATATTTTTCAGTTTATTGTTTTTCTTTTGTTGCCTCTGTTCCAAAGTTTACCCTATCTTTGAATTTTTTATTGCAATGAATAGATTTTTAACTCCCAAGATGTCTAATCATTCTGCTTTTTAATTTATTTGGCTTGTTTCATATCTGTCTGCTTTTCACATTTTATGTTTTTTTAAAAAAAGTGCATAGTTTTTTCCATTTTTCCCCTTAAGCATTCAAAGCATATTTATTCTTAAGTTTTGGCTAGATCAGTTTAATAAAATTTCACCTGGAATGAAATTATGTTCCAATTGTTGATTTTTGGCAGGATTACTTTCACAGCATTAGAATTCTCCCGCTTTGAAATTCTGTTTTGCAGCATCATGTTGAATGAAATTGCTCCCCTTCTTTCTCTTTCTTCAAATTTCTCTATCTAGCAGTTTTGCATTTCCTTCTCCCAAATTCCTGAACCCTACCTCCAAACCTAGTGCTGTATGACATTGCAGAACACCTGCCCTTGGTCTCAGCAGGCATATGATATCAGGCCCCAGGCCAGGTGCATTTAGCACCCTTCCTCAAGTGCAATGTGTGTTAGTTCTCTTGTTTCTGAAGTTCTCTGCAAAGCCATGGCCCCAGGGAATGGTTGGCTGCAGATTTTTAACCTCCTTTTACCAGAAGGAGCCTCATCTAGCCTCTGTTTTCAAATCTGGCTCCAGTATGCTAATTTCCATGGAACACCTTCAATTCTCCTTCCCTGGTTCTCAGCTGTCACTGCCTACTTCAGGACAAGAGCCCAGCATGGCTGTGGCCTCAGCTATGCTCAGTTCTGCATTTCTTTTCTATTTCTGGTGCACAGGAATGCTTAATAGGCTTTGAACTCAGACATGTGTTTCGGGTGTTTTCTTTTATATTTTTATATGCTTTTTGCTGTGTTGTGTTAATACATTAAAGCATGAACTAACTGCTCTAATTTGACCAGAGTGCATAAAATGAACAAGTAAATTGTATTTATCATAAACTAAAACAGGTGATTGTAAAATATCCCAATTTACTAAATTTGGAAGCCTTTTAGAGACAGATTTTCCTTGTACATGTCTCTAAATTACTTTCATAAATGTGCAATAGTGGTAGTACCAATGGAAAGAACAGAACCTTTTGTCCATAGGATCATTTAAAATTTGTTTGTGTGCTACTCGGGAGGCTGAGGCAGGAGAATTGCTTGAACCCGGGAGGCGGAGGTTGCAGTGAGCTGAGAACACGCCACTGCACTCCAGCCTGGGTGACAGAGAGAGACTCCATCTCAAAAAAAAAAGAATAAAAAATAAATAAATTTTTTTGTGTATGAATCTGCAATTATTTCTATTTTCTAAATTACATTATTTGGAAATCTAGGAGCTGAAACACTTTTTGGTGCTATAGGACATTATGACTTGGCTACTTTGAAATTAGACATATTTTACCCAGCTAAAAGAGACACAATATTAAATTTTCCAAGTAAAAATAATTACATAATCTGAAAGGAAAATAATTGAAGAGAGAGAGAGAAAGGAAGAAAACAAAAGGAAGGAAGGAAAGAAAGAAGAAAGGAAGGAAGGAAGGGAAAGAAAGAAAAAGAAAAGAAGGAAGTAAAAATGAAGGAAAGACAGGCATATTCATTCCAGTGCTTTGAATAGTGTATGGCCCTTAGAAAATATTTGTGGAGAAAAATGAATGGATAAATACCTGAGCCTCACTCCATTTCTGGTTAGCACCCTTGTTGTAGAAGGAATGGGACAGGGAGCATACTATGGATGTATCCAGGGTGAGGAAAGCATCAGGACTCACAGATAGGGTAATGGATCAGGCAAGTGTGAAAGTGAAGGATAGAGTTAGCATAATTGTCAGGGTGTTTGTTATTTTATAACCCGATTGTAAAAACAGGGAGTTTTAAATTTGGACATTTTATGTGGTTCTAAATTTTCTGAGCTCAGCTATGAATAAATGTCACCCTTCCCATTTGGAACCTATTACTGAGCTATACTGACCACTCAGAGATGGGAAGAGACAGGCCAGTAGTGTGAGGTTGTACATGAACATCCTGCACACTGTGGAGCTGACATATATGGAGTAAAGAATGCACGAGTCACCCTCCTTGTGCAGTCCTGGATTGTGGAGACTGAAGAGAAGGTTCATTCAAGGCTGTCTTGGAATAGGTGGTTCAGTGTTCCCAGAACACATAGCTTTAGCAATCCTTATTCCATCCACATTTCTAGAGAAACAGAATTTTTAGAGAAAGGGAATAAGGTTGGGCATTAAGGAATCAGCCAAGCAGAATGACTCTGGTTGCAAACAATACTGTGCGAAGGAGCTAGGCCAAGAGCAAACCCATCAGCATTAAAGACTTTGTATGAGAAAGACAGGGAGGTGAGTTCCATCACAGCTCCTATTGGCTTTATTGCTTTTATTTTAACATTAAAATGGGTCACATTTGCTTCTTTAATTTCTAACTACTGAAAAAAATTTGCCAGGGAAATAGATTATTCTTCTTTGTGATTTATGTTTCTCAATAGGAAAAAAGCAAATTTACATTTGTTTAACCCCCCTTGCATGAAATTTTCTCGACATTGTCTCATTTTATCCTCATATTAATATTTTGAGATACATTTTATCTTCTTTTAAATATAAAGAAACTATAGAGCTGAGGTAAACAATTTGGCCAGGCTGTCAGCTTTAAGTGAGAGAGCTGGGACTGAAATTCAGGGAGGCCGTATAGCATAAGGGGTAATAGGTTAGACTGTTGACCCCAGCTCCCAGTTTATTCAGTTAATTCTGTGTGACTTTTGTCAAGTTGCTTAACCTACTTCAGTTAAGCAGAGCCTCAGTTAACTCAGTTTGAAATTAGGAATAATAATCATAACTTCTCTAAAGATTATTGTAAGTAAAACAGTTACCATGTTGTTTGACGCATGGACATTTTCTTTTCATTTGTTATTAATGGGAATATAAATTTGTGTCCCCTCTTTAGAATGGAATTTGGTAATTGTTACAAAACCTAAAATGTGCATCTCCTTTGACTTAGCAATTCCAATTTAGAAATTTTTCCTCAGGGGGATTAAGATGATGAATACGAAGCGAGACTAGCTTGCAGCTCCCACTCAGATGGACGGAGCAGTATGGAGACTCACATCGTGAACTTTTGCTCCAAGAACTACCACAGAAACATACCAGGAAAGCCAAGAGAATCCACAGACCCTTTGAAGAACTGGATCACCCCTGCAAGCTCCCTGAGATGCCAAAAAACTGTGAGTCTGCTTGCTTTCTCAATGGGGAGGCTCATGGTCTAGGGCAAGTTCTCGGCCCTGGTCACCAGCTGCCTGGAAATAGACTCGATGCTGTTGTTGGGGAGCACAGTGGGAGTGAGACCAGCCGTTAGGACTGTGGGTTGCTTGGGAGTGGGGTGAGGCTTTTGAGTACTGGCTTTTCCCCCACTTCCCTGGTGACCTGTATGACTCAGCAGAGGCAGCCATAATACCCCTGGGAGTATAACTCCGCTGGACAGGGAATCACACCCATCCCCCACCACAGCCACAGCAAGCCCCATCCAAGGAGAGGCTGAGCTCAGATACGCATATCCCTGCCCCCACCTGGTGATTTTTCTCTACTTGCCCTGGTAGCCAAAGACAAAGGCTATAATTTCTTGGGAGCCCTATGCCTCTGCCCACTACCTGAGAAACTTGAATACATAACCAAGTGTCTATAGGGCAAGTTTTCATCCTCTTTATTGGACTTCAGCTGATGCACTCTTGAAAGCTCCACCTTCTGGCTGGAGGCCAACAAACACAGAACCAGGGCACTAAACAAAAACACAACCAAGAACTCTCACAGGGTCCACTTCACTCCCCTGCTACCTCCACCAGAGCAGGTGCTGGTATCCATGGCTACAAGACCTGAAGACAGATCACATCACAGGACTCTGTGCAGGCACTCACCACTACCAGCCCAGAACCCTTAGCTCTGCTGGGTGGCTAGACCCAGAAGAGCAAAAACAATCACTACAGTTCAATTCTCAGGAAGCCCCTTTCCTAGAGGAAGGGAGAGAACACCACATCAAGAAAGGACCCAAGAAAGATAGACCATATGATAGACTACAAAAAAGTCTCAGTAAATTTAAGAAAATCAAAATTATATCAAGTACTTTCTCAGACCACAGTGGAATAAAACTGGAAATCAACTCCAGAAGAACCCCTCACAACCAAGCAGATACATGGAAATTAAATAACCTGCTCCTGAATGATTGCTGGGTTAACAATGAAATCAAGATGGAAATTTAAAAATTCTTTGAACTGAACAATAATAGTGACACAACCTATGAAAACCTCTGAGATAACAGCAAAAGCAGTGCTAAGAGGAAAGTTCATAGCATTAAATGCCTATATCAAAACGTCTGAAAGAGCACAAATAGACAATCTAAGGTCACACCTCACAAAACTAGAGAAACAAGAACAATCCAAACCCAAACCCAGCAGAAGAAAAGAAATAAGACCAGAGGAGAACTAAATGAAATTGAAACAAAAAATAATATAATAGATCAATAAAACAAAAGCTGTTTCTTTGAAAGGATAAGTAAAATTGGTAGACCATTAGCAAGATTTACCAAGAAAAGGAGAGAGAAGATCCAAATAAGCTCAATTAGAAATGAAACAGGAGATACTACAACTGATACCACAGAAATACAAAAAATTATTAAAGGATACTGTGAACACCTTTATGTGCATAAACTAAGAACCTAGAGGAGATGGATACATTTCTAGAACTATACGACCCTCCTAGATTAAACCTGGAAGATATCAAATCTCTGAAGAGACCAATAACAAGCAGTGAGATTGAAACGGTAATTAAAAAATTGTCACAAAAAGTCCAAAACTAGACAGATTCACAGCTGAATTCTATCAGATACTCAAAGAAGAATTGGTACCAATCCTATTGACCCTATCCCAAAAGATAGAGAAAGAGGGAATTGTCCCTAAATCGTTCTGTGAAGCCAGTATTCCCCCTAATACCAAAATGAGGAAAGGACACAACAAAAACAGAAAACTACAGACCAATATCCCTGATTAACATAGGTGAAAAAATCCTCAACAAAATTCTAGCTAACCAAATCCAACAGCATATCAAAAAGATAATCCACCATGATCATGGGTTTCATACCAGGGATGCAGGGATGATTTAACATACATAAGCAATAAATGTGATACACCACATGAGCAGAATTAAAAACAAAAATCACATGATCATCTCAATAGATGCAGAAAAGGCATTTGATGAGATCCAGCATTCCTTTATGATAAAACCCTCAGCAAAATCAGCATAGAAGAGACATACCTTAACGTAATAAAAGCCAGCTATGACAAGCCCACAGCCATCATTATACTGATCAGGGAAAAGTTAAAAGTATTCCCCCTGAGAACTGGAACAAGACAAGGATGCCCACTTTCACCACTTCTATTTGCCATAGTATGGGAATTCCTAGCCAGAGCAATCAGACAAGAGAAAGAAATGAAAGGTGTCCAAATCAGTAAAGAGAAAGTCAAACTATTGCTGTTTGCTGATGATAGGGTCATATATCTAGAAAACCCTAAAGACTCATCCAAAAAGCTCCTACAGCTGGTTAATTAATTCAGCAAAGTTTCAGGATACAAAATTAATATACACAAATCAGTAGCTATACACCAATCCTATACACCAACAGCAACCAAACTGAGAATCAAATCAAGATTTCACAATAGCTAAAAAAAAAACCAAAAAATAAAAAAAAAACACTTAAGAATATACTTAACCAAGGACGTGAAGACCTCTACAAGAAAAACTACAATACACTGCTGAAAGAAATCATGGATGACACAAACAGATGGAAACACATCCCATGCTCATGGATGGGTAGAATCAATATTGTGAAAATGACCATACTACCAAAAGCAATCTACAAATTCAATGCAATTCCCATCAAATTACCACCATCATTCTTCACAGAACTAGAAAAAAAAAAAACCTAAAATTATATGGAGCCAAAAAAGTGCCCTCATAGCCAAAGCAAGACTAAGCAAAAAAAAAAAAAAAAAAAAATCTGGAGGCACCACATTATCCAACTTCAGACTATACTATCAGGTCATGGTAAACAAAACAGCATGGTATTGATATAAAAATAGGTACATAAACCAATGAAACAGAATAGAGAACCCAGAAATAAAGCCAGATACTTAGACAGCAAACTGATTTTTGGCAAAGTAAACAGAAATATACAGTGGGAAGGGACACCCTATTCAACAAATGGTCCTGGGATAATTGGCAAGCTGCATGTAGAAGAACAAAACTGGATCCTCATCTGTCACCCTATACAAAAATCAATTCAAGATGGATCAAAGACTTAAATCTAAGACCTGAAACCATAAAGATTCTAGAAGATAACATTGAAAAAATCCTTTCAGACATTGGCTTAGAGAAAGACTTCATGACCAAGAACCAAAAGCAAATGTAACAAAAACAAACATAAATAGATGGGCCTTCATTAAACTAAAAAGCTTCTGCACAGCAACAGCAATAATCAGCAGAGTAAACAGACAACCCACAGAGTAGGAGAAAATTTTTGCAATCTATACATCTGACAAAGGACTAATATCCAGAATCTACAATGAACTCAAACAAATCAGCAAGAAAAAAACAAACAACCCCATCAAAAAGTGGGCTAAGGACATGAAAAGACAATTCTCAAAAGAAGATATACAAATGGCCAACAAGTATATTAAAAATCGCTCAGCATTACTAATTACCTGCAAAATGCAAATCAAAACCACAGTGAGATACCACCTTACTCTTGCAAGAATGGCTATAATCAAAAAATCAAAAAAAAAATAGTTGTTGGCTGGGATGTGGTGAAAAGGGAACACTTTTACACTGTTGGTGGGAATGTAAACTAGTACAACCACTATGGAAAACAGTATGGATATTCCTTAAAGAACTAAAAGCAGAAGTACCATTTGATCCAGCACTCCCATTCCTGGGTATCTACCCAGAGGAAAAGAAGTCATTGTACAAAAAAGATACTTGCACACACATGTTTATAGCAGCACAATTTGCAACTGCAAAAATATGGAACCAGTCCAAATACCCATCAATCAAGTGGATAAAGAAAATGTGGTATGTATATATGTATATATATATATATATATATATATATATATATATATATACACACATATACACACACCATGGAATACTACTCAGCCATTAAAAGGAACAAAATAATGGTATTCACAGCAACCTGGATGGAATTGGAAACTATTATTCTAAGGGAAGTAACTCAAGAATGGAAAACCAAACATTGTATGTTCTCCCTGATATGTGGCAGCTAAGCTATGATGATGCAAAGGTGTAAGAATGATGCATTGGACTTTGGGGACTCCGGGCAAAGGATGGGGTATGGTGAGGGATAAAAGACTACATATTGGGTACAGTGTGCACTGCTTTGGTGATGGGTGCACCAAAATCTCAGAAACCTCCAATAAAGAACTTATTTACGTAACCAAACACCACCTGTCCCCCCAAAACCTATTGAAATTAAAAAATAATACTAAAATAAGGAATTTTTCCTCCAGATATGCTCACACATGGGCACAAAAATACTTATATAGAATGTTCATTTTAGCACTGTTAATAACAGCAAAGAGTGGGGGCACAAACAGAAGCATCAACTGGAAGATCTTAATCAAACTAAGATCTATAAAATGCAGTGTATAACCTCCAAGATATTTTGCTAAATGAGAGGAAAGGTGACATGGGATATATATGTACTATTCCCGCTATTAGGGTTTACATTGTGTTGGGGGGACAGTGGCAGGGTGCATGGGTGTAATACAAGTATCATTGCTTGTGTGTACATTAAGCATATCTTGAATTATACACAAGAAACTGTTTACCATTGGCAGCTTTTGGAGACGGAGGTTAGAGATTTTGAGACTGAAGTCAGAAGGAGAATTATTTTTCATTGTATATTTGTTTTCACTTAATTTTTTATGCAAACAGAATTTTCCACCCAAAAGAAACTAATTTTTAAACATAGTACAATATTGGATGATTAAATTAAAGAGACTCGTTTAGCTGCTCATATGAGAAGGATTGAGATATCCCTCAATCTTGCATGGTAGGCAGGACCCTTTTAGTGTAGTCTAGGGGCTTGTGAGAATGGAGCTGCCCAGGGCATGGTGGCTCGGAGTCACTTCAGAGATCCAGAGGACCCTCTGAGTATGGAAGGAAGACTTGGACTCACTAAACTTGTTGTTAACACAATTCGAATTTAAAACAACACCTGAAACCCATGTCTGTATTTCTTTCATATTTTATGGCTGTCTTCTCTAAACCCCACTATTTATTCAGTACCATCTCTAGCTTGCATTTGAGCTAAAATGTTGCTTAGACTTGTTAATTTTAAAACCAGCTTCTTGGTTTCTAAAATTCATGACATTTTCTTAATTCTCGTACAGAATACCTGCACTCCAGGTAATTTGCCTAGAGTGCATAGTTTTACAGACACTGTTTAAATGGTGCATGTTGAAAGCCTGGCAGAGAGGTTAGCTGGGAAAGATTATCTTGTGTCGTGGGTCTATTCAATACTCCAGATACTCCTAATGTCATCTCAAAGAGGCCTTTCCTGATACCGAATCTACACAAGGAAACCACCCTCCAGCCCCTTTAACTCCTGATAGCAGTGTTAATATTCTTCATAGCTCTTATCATAATTTGCGGTAATTTTATTTCTATATCTTTTTTACTTTATGTTCTGACTCCTTTACCAGAATGTAAGCTCCATGAGGGCAGGGATCATGGATATTTTGTTCACAAACATGTCCCAGTACCCAGCATAAGTGCTTATTAAATATTGAAATGGGAGGAGTGTTCCTTTATCCCCCTCGCCGGGTGTGCGCCAGGGGTGTGGCTCGCTTCTTTGGTGCTCCGCTGCTCAAACCACTAGGGGAAGCATGCAGACGGGCAGGTCACGGGGAGCGTTTTTGGGCTTCGACCCCATGGCAGCATCTAGGGTGAGTGTTTCCAGCTCGCGAAGCCCCAGTGGGCGTGTGTTACAGTGCGCTCTTTCCGTTTTGCGGTCTGTAGTTGGCTTGTGTTGATCAGCGCAACTAGACCCTCTGCCTTATCGAAAGGACACAGGGCCTTCTGTATCCCCGGTTCTTGCCCTAGTGTACCAGAAAAATCGGATCACATGTGGGCTTGGAGGATGGGTGCAAAGTTTTATTGAGTGGTGGAGGTTGCTCTCAGCGAGGTGGATGGGGAGCCAGAAGGAGGATGGGTTGGGAAGTTGGTCTCCCCCTGGAGTCGGGCCACCCAGCAGCCGGGCCACCCAGCAGCGGGACTCTCCTCTAACCACCCCAGCTGAATTCTGCCTTGTCCCGCCACCGATGGCCTGCCGATGTCTGCTGGTGTCTGTGTGTTTGCTTTTCTGCTCCTCTTGACGACCAGCCATTTGTGTCTGTGCCCGCTACGGTCTCTCGGGTTTTTATGGGCACAGGATTGGGGGTGTGGCAGGCCAAAAGGCAACTTTATGGGCACGGAAACAGAAATGCTTGTCCTCACTTAGGTCCATGGGCACAGGCCCGAGGGAGCCCTCCCCAGGGACCCCGCCTTTCTCTGCTTAGCACTTCCCTACCCGCCTCCTGTATCACTATGAATCAATGTCCTTGGATCAAGTCAGACTACACATTTAGAGAATGACTTTTTTGTCATTGCTTTTGTAGATACGTTTTTTCAATTGTTAGCCATGAGTTTTTATCTTAGGTTGTTTTCAGAATTAGCTATGCAAATTTAATTTCTCTATTTGCTGTGAAACAAATATTGAGGTTATTATTGGTTAAATCTTACTCCTATTGTCACCCAGGAGCTGTTTCTCACCAGGAAAATTTATTCTGACAAATATTTTGTGGGTACCCTAATTTCAGGTAATGATATTTAATGAATGTTTTATGATTTAAAAAGTTTCCCTCTTCATCAGGGCTAGGAGGAAGCTCTAGGGTATCTGCTCACACACAGCCGCTCTGCTGATGTTTATGGTTGCCATATGCTGCCCCTTCCTCTTTTGGTTCTGTTTTATTAATCTTATAATAAACATCTTCTCTTTCAATAATTCACCTCAAATACTTTTTGATAAGATATGATGCAAATACATTAAATTATGAAAATAAATTATATTTTTTCTATTTTTGTTAATTTTCCATTTCATTGGGTCTCTACGGCTAAGGTTTGAGTCCATGACATTTTTGGGTTTTGGCTCATTATGATCACCATCTGGTCTCTCTCTGCCCTTAATCTTTTCCCTATTTTCTCCTGTTTCCTCTCACCAAAATGCTGTCACCAAACACATCTTTCTTTCCCACTGAACTACTGTCACTGCCACCTCCTGTATCATGCACTGTCCCAGAAGATATTGCGCTAAGCCATAAGCAGTTTCCTCTTCAGCTTGTGCTTCCTTTGCTGTTTCTTCTTTGTCCTGCTTATAGCACCTTCCTGGCTTCATCTTCTCTTTCTTACTTTACAATACCACTAATGCTCCTGTAACACAAACTACCACCAATATAAAATCTCATGTCATCTGTTTGCCCTTTAATAATCCTTGAAATGAATTCACTTATAAAAATCCTTTTAAACCTCAGCAATTATATTCATCTATCACTACCCAGAGCTCCTGAATATTTAAATTATATTATAATTACGGTGCATTATTTTATTAATTGTATTAGTGAATAGTTCTATAGAACTGTAAGTAAATCATTAGACATAGTCCCTTAACCCCTTCTTCCTCAACCAAAAATATGATTAAATAATTTTATATATGTGTGTACTTTCTCTAAATTCCTTTCAGAATGACATAACGTAATAAATTTAACAGGAGACGAAATCAGGATGGCAGAGACAGTTAGAAAACTGGAAAAACAGCATCAATTTGGCAACTGATTACCTACTTTGTTGCTGAATAGAGGGTGATAAGTAAAGAATCTAGTCTGAGAAGAACTAAGTTTGAATCTTTGGCATTATGTTCCCTCAAATGTGCAGGTATCAAAATGAATTATAATTGGGAATAGCTTCCAAATTTATTACTCAGTACAGAACATAGCAGGTATCAAATCGAATTGAAGAATAAAACTAAAAGAGATATCATAGGAAAATAAAGTGGCATATTGTAAAATTAAAATACCCTGTTTTTCATATAAATTATTTAGCTGAAGCTGTATGACAGAGTGTGAAAGAAAATTGAAAAGTCTCTTTACCTTAGAAATGTTTGTATTCACTGACATGTTTCAACCTGGTAATAAATCAGCTTGGGGACCTTTTCCATAAAGAGATGTCACTATAAATTAGCTTTTACATTTTTATCTTAAGTAGTATCATCATAAAATATTCAATCAAGACACTAGAACTGTCAAAGTAGGTGGGTAATTTGAGACCTGGTGTTAAAAAAAATCTAATTCTTTCATGTTAGGATTTTTTTTCTTGTATATAAATTTTGATCTGTGAAAATACCAGGACTGTCATGGTAACAATAGATAATTTGCTCATAAATTATAATTATCACAAATGTTAGCAATCATGAATGCTAAGTAAGTACTTTGATCAGAAACTAACAAGAACAGACTAAATTGAAAGAAAACAGCACACCAAAATGTTTGGCCCTATTTTGTTCTGCCACAAAAGGAAAATATTCTTATGCAGCTGTTTTTTTTGTTTGTTTGTTTTTTGTTTTTTAGTTTTTCTTAGGTTATCTATCTTTCCATCTATTTCTTAATTGTAAAACAAATTTTAACAATTACAATGATGATAATATATTAGACTTCACATATAAGATTGAATGTGATCTTTTCCATACCCATATTAGGCAAGGAGACCAGGAAACACATAAAGAAACTAAAGCCTACACAGGTCACTGGGTGTCACTTTTGTCATGGCTTCTCACACTTCAGCAGACAGCAAGAGCTCATCTTCTTGGCTATTTCCCAAGAATACCATCTTGCTTACTTCTCCTTGCAGAAGGAGCATGTTCTCATTTTCACTGGCTCTTTGACTCACAGGCTGTACCAGTTAACTGTTGCATGCCTCAGGATGTTTCTGCCCTGGTGACTGGTTTAGCTATGCATTTCTGACTTTGACCTCTGACTTCACTGTTTGCTGTCTGCCTCCATCCAACCATTAAGGTCCTGAGAGCTACTTCCTGCCACCTCCCCCAACCCCTTAAGCCCATTTGAGCAAGGCTAGCTCTGTCTAGCCTCCCGCCAAGAGAGGGAGAGCCCAGCCCAGGAGCAATAAAGCCCAGATGATAATTCAAATGAAAGCACTTTTGGAAAATGTCATTCCAATGTTTTTGAAAATGACAACCATCACAAATTCTTGACTACTATCAGTTATTACTAGGCTGGTGACCTTGATAAAAAAAAAACACAATTATTATGAAGGCAGATCTGTGAATTTCTCTTACTTTTTAAAACTGAAGTAATAAATTCCCCAGGTATAGACTTCAAACAGCATCTGTTGACTTAATTAGAGGGGAAATGCTTCAAGGATGAATTCTTTTCCTACTCTGTTAACTTTTCAACAGATGATACATCTGAAACAATAGGCTGGGAGCAGGTGTGTGATGGCCTGAGTCTTAGCTTGCATTTGGCAAAACTCTGACTACTGAGTGAAGCCATTAGCGATGTTGTCAGTGAGATTGATGATGTTATGCATTTTGAAATTGTCCTTGACAAATTATATAAAATGTACAATTCTTCTCCAAAGACATATCATGAATTGTAGCAAAATGTAACACATATTACACCATTTCTCAGGGGTGAGGATTTTATTAGCTCAATGAGGCACACCCAGATTGAGTTGAAAAAGGTCTCTGAAATAATTCTACTATAATGTGTCATTGTAAGCAGTTCAGAGTCGACTGAGAAGAGCTGCTTGAATGAGCTGAGAGGGGGCTATTTAAACAACACCATGAACCTCTCCTATCATTAGATTCCTCCTTCCATATTAGATGGGGACCTGGTATGATGGAGGGGGTGGGTCTTGCAAAGACAGACTCCAAAGATGTGAGAAGACCATGGATAATAAACCTGAATCCAGTGTGCCAGTCAAATGTGTTGCCCTGAGCTTCTTAAACTAAATGCATTTGCCCTGTGCATAGGAAGAAACATCTGCATAGATGGATTGGGGCAAGTTCATCACCGCCAATAATTGATAATTTAAAATATTATCTTATGTTAGAACAGAGGTATTATGAGATACAATTTAAAAGTCATAAGATTTTTAAAAAGAAGAATAAGAATGTAAAGAAATCTATGTTTGCACTGGTTAGCCACCCTCCAGTTATGGGTACACATCTAGCTGCCTCTGACTTAAACATATTCATATGGACATGCTTATTTTGGATCAGAAAGTGGGTATCTAAGGATGGAGTCAGAATGGACAGGCAGAAGTACCACTTTAGGAAGCTTGAAGCATCTCCAGAGACCAAGGCTGAAATCCACACAAGGCTGAATAGATATGCTAGATCCCTTCATCATTCCCTCCCTGCTTCTCTTCTCTTCATAGAACTAAAGCACAGAATCATTGAGTTTCAAGATTCAGAGAGTTTTTTTTATAGAACCATCAAGTCTAATCTTATTATATGAAAATTGCACAAGAGTCTTAAGAAGTGGTTTTCAAGCATCTTTTGGCATACTTTCAATGACAGGAAACACACCATTTCGTAAGACAGCTCTTTCTACCTTTCAAGAATGTGAATTATTTAGGAAATGTGAGCTTGGTATGAGTACTCGTTTCTGAAGTCAAATTGTAAGAAGGAAAATTGGCCTTAGAAATCCACTTATCCTAACTTCTTATTCAGTGCTCTTTTCATGAATCTGTAGTAGATATTCTTGCTTCTAAAGTGGTCTAAAGAAAACTGGGTTGACAAAACTCTGAAAGGGAAGTCCTAACTCAAGCCAGGGGAAAAATAGCAAATGACATCACAGGAAGTTATGAAATCTAATTCAGTGGAGAAATATGCAGAGCTTTTGACCATCTCCTAAGACTGGGACAGGAAATTCTTACTCCACTTTTGGGTTGCAGGGCTTGTTTACGAAGAATATTTCCTCCTTTGTTATTCCCTTTGGACCAGCTTGCAGATTACTCAAAGATACTCCATTGCCTCGGCCTGGGGGAAATAAAAATCTATTGTCCTATTAAATAAAATTAAAGGATGCACAAAAAAATATCATAATGATTCTAGAATTACTCTCAATTCTAGAGAGTCAACTACATGTCACTTTCAAAATCATCCTAGGGCATTATCTCAAAGTGATAAAAACATTTCACTTTTAATTAAGCAATTGATTCTTCTCCCTTGTCAAGTGCAGAACTTATGTAAAGATTTTATTGTACTCTATACATTCTTTTCACAATATCTACCACTTTAGTGTATCATCACTACTCCCATTTAATGCCCTATTAACTGAAATCTTGAAAAGGATATAGGGCATATGAAAGCCAACCTTATTTAGGGATCTATAGCTTGACATTCAGTTCCTGCTCATCAGCCCCTAAAGTGAAGTTTTATAGCAGATGTGCTCCATTTCAACAGAGTGCATGAAGTTCTCGGTCAAAACTCTTCTTACAGAGACCTAGAAGGAAAATAATCCTACTCATGCAACAGCAGAGGAAAGAAACCCTAGTGATCTACACCTTCTTTTTAAAACCTGGCTGGACAACAAAGGATAAAGAGAAATGTGAGAACTGTCAGCAGCATTCAAAAGAATAAGCAAGGTCAAAATACAGAAAAACTGATCTGAGAAACTAGAAATAATAATCTGAGCCACAAACTGTTCAAAGTTTACGTATAATAAGTTCAATCATTAGAACACCCTTATGAGGTAGGTACTATGTTACTTTATTTTACAGATGAAGGAACTAAGGTACAGCCTCTCCTGCCCCCAGGCTTAACCTCATGGTACAGGAAACCATCTGTAGGGTCTGTAGTTTCCCCATCTCCTCCCAGCCAAACCCCCGGTCATCTTGGCTTGAGTGGTTCCAGAGGCTCCACCAGGAAACATGGTTGCCCTCCTGACTGTCTTGGCACAGAATGTTGGTTGTTTTCATCCTTCAGGTAGAATTTAACCTTTTCAGCTTCAAACTGGAACCAGAGAGCTATTCAAACTAAGAAAACAAAGTTCATATGTACAGCAGTAAAAATTAAAAATCAAATTGTTAACATAGAGTCATCTCTACAACAACAACAACAACAAAACTTCAGAATTTGGCAGTGTGCTGAAAGAATTGGAAAATAAATTGATTATCAGCAGGAAAATAGAGCAAAAACCCAATAACAGTTGTTCAAAATATATAACAATGTAAAGTGACTTTAGCATCAGTTATAAAGTGTGACACCTACACCTGATTTTGTTGCAAAGCTCAGAGAAATGAACCTAAGCAATTAAAAATACAGTAAACAGTTTTAAGAAAGAACAGAGGTTGATTACATGAAAAGCTTAATAAAGACAAGAAAATAGCCAAAAATTAGTTGAATACTGTATCAAGGAAAATTGACATATGGGCTTTGGGTCACTAGAAACATGGAGAACTTTCAGAGGAATGTTAAGCAAAGTTCCTGTAGACAGAATACAACAAAGTAGTCTTCCAGGAGAAATGGTAGATTTTGCAAAATTCCTTCAGTAAACAGGAGGATGTCAAGGGTGCTGGATGATTGTGATCACCAGAACTTTGTAAAAATGAGAAACAAACATAAAAAGAAGACAAGATATATAGGGAAAGTTTTGCAACACCATCCTGGAAAAGCACAGGATAAAGTGCAACAGTATGAAAGATACATTAAAAATGTCTGACTCTAGAAGAGAGGAAAAAAAATCTATTCAAAATTGGAAAACTAAAAAACAGCAAACAGGGAGAATACTTTCAAGTTAAAGGGAAAGATGAAGGATAAGCCAGTCCTTCCTCAAAGTAAACAAGAATGTAATCACAAGCAAAAAGAGGAGCAAAAAAACCAAATTGGTGATTGAAGCTTAGAAAAAACAGAAAAATATTTAAGTGTCAATTAAATATGCTTATATTTTAAGGAAGCTAAAAGAGGAAGAAGAGAAAGAGACAAAGTGGCAAAAAAACCATCAATGTCAATGTAAACTAAAATTACTACCTGAAAGTAATACCCAGCAGAAGTAAAAACAGGAAGAATTTTTGAGGCTTGAAAAGGAAATAAAGGAAAAGGCAAAAAAAAAAAAAAAAAAAAAAAAAAGGAAATCTGTGGCTGATGAAATCTCCAGGTTTCAAGAAAGAGACTGATATAAACTTGAATTGAAAATTATAGATGGACAGGCAAAGGAAGGTGAAAAGACAGAATAACAAAAAGACTATCACAATTAAAAGATTGAAAATCATCAATATGAGATCCCTGCAGGCTTTCTAAGTTTACCAAAGGTTGGAAAGAATTAGACCGAAAATATTAGACCAACAAGTTCTGGGTCATTTCTACATGACCCACACAGGGAGGGCTATTGCTATCTGGAGACGAGTAAAGAGAAAGATATGAGATAATGAAATTGGTATTTACGCGAGGAGAATGTTAACATATTCAATTATTCTGGCAGATATAGTGACTAATTGTGTCCTTTAAATATCACTAAACTAGTCAGATTGATTATTAATTGTGCTGTAATGTGAATTGACAGTTCCATGCTGGCATCGTCATCAGTATTTCCTGTTTACGCTGAAGAGGTATTTAATGCATGTGTTGGTTTATTACCAACATAAAAGTTACTTAAATAAGTTTATTTACATACACTTAAATGTTCATTTAAATGCTCAGAACATTTTGAAAGTATTTTGTTTTTGTCATGGCATAGAAAAACAAATTGGGACAATCATAGAGTGACAATTTTTAAACCAAAAATTTTACAACTTTCAGAAAGTAGAGGTAAGCTACCTTGAGAAATAAAAATGTAAAGGTTTTTTTTTTTTAGTTACAAATCAGTATCTTTTCTAAGTTTAACAAATTGGTAGTTTTAAATTTTTGTGTAATAGGTATTTTATATCTGTTTGAAACACACAACCAAAAAAAAACAAAAGAAAAACAAAAAGAAAAGAAACTGTAGGGGAGAAAAATACCTTTTCCTTCTACCCATCTTAGGTTTATTGGTTGGGCCCCTGTAACAAAAGACAGATTAACAAGAGAAGAGCACATCTATTTATTTCATATAAGTTTTATGTAACACAGGAGCCTTCATTAGGAAATGAAGACCTGAAGAAAGCGTTCAAATGTGAAATGGGAGTGGTTTTTATAGCAGGTTTGAAGAAGTGTGGACAGTTGTGCAGAAATACTATAAGGTGGAGTATGAGGTAAGTGTAGTAAACTGGTGGAAACTTGGCAAGGCCTGTTTGTTCAGATGCCACTGTGTTCATCTTTGAAGACAGGATGTTCCTTCCTCCCAGGTATAGGGAGGGTACCTCTCACATCAGAGTTTTAGGACCTGCTTCAGAAGGTCAGAAAATTCCTTCCAGGTCAGAGAGACCTTTCTGCCGCTCCTGCCATTTTCTTAATCATTATGCCAAGATGTCATCTTTTGGAGTACTGTGTCCTGAACTCCATCAAAACTAAGGCACAGACAAGTTCCCCAAGGTTGTAAATCCACAGCAGAGCTGAGAATCAAATCCAGGCTGTCTGGCTTTAGAGTCCATCCTCTTAATCACTAGGCAGGCTGCCTCCTAATAGAAGAAAACGTTTAAAATCTAACTAATGTTCTCATGGATATTTGAGAAAGTATCATGACCTTAAATCAAGAATAGGATACTCAAGAAAGGAATAAATAGAGATCAAGAAAGAGCTCTTGGAGCTTTAAAATGGGAATGAGCAAAATAAAACAATTGAAGTACCAGAAGACAATTTCCCAGATCTGCCAAAATAGTAGTTGCATGGGATTCAGTTTATGAACCACCCCAGATCCGCAGTGACTGAATCTAGCAGTGACAGCTGCTGTTCCCATGGTGATGAAGTCAGGTCACTGCTTCTGCCGCTGCTGCTGAAAGGGGCCTGCTGTGGCAGCTGCCTTTGGTCCCTCGTGTCACCTAAGGACATGACCTGACAATATCTTGCCTCCTGCCCCTGCAGGATCTTTTGCTTTCTACCCTGGGGACTCATTGTTGCTGAGGACTCTCTTGACACCAATAACTATGCAACCTGTAAGTGTATAGGAATTATTCCATGGTGCAATCTTTGCCCAGAAGGAGATGAGACTGGGCAAATCACACTTTCTTCTTTTTAGAAGGACTGTGTGGAGAAGCATATCTTTAAACTTCCTTTCTGAAGCTGCCTTGTCCACTCAGCAGTCGTCAGCTTTTCACAAAGCTGTGGCCTCAGTATTTTTCTCCCTCTTTCAGTGCCTCACTCTGATTTTCTCTCATTCCTGCTTCTTGGTTATTAAACTTCCTAATAATAAATTTTTACCTCAGGTGCTGCGTACTAGGACACCTAGCCTAAGACAACAGTCTTCAGATGAGAAGGGTCCACCAGGTATCTGGAAAATGAATGAAAAGACCATTCCCTAGACAAAGCAGCATGAAGTTTCAAAGCACCAATAAAGAAAAGATAAGAGCTTCAATATTGAAAAATAATATATTAATGGCAAAGGAACAAGAATCAGTCTGGAATCAGCAACCGTGAAGGCTAGAAGACAGGGGAGCAGGACCTTCAAAGTTTGTAATCAGCAAAACTCACAGCCAAGGGTGAAAGCAAAACAAAACAAAACAAATTCAGACATGCTGAACATCAGATCATTTGTCCCACACATATCCTTTTTTAAGAAATTACCTGAGTGTACTCCAGGAAAACAAGGGTATATCCAAGAAAAAGAAAGACAGATTCAGGAGATAGGGATTTCAACCTGAAAGGGAACTTCCTGGATAACAGACATGCAGAAGACTAAAGACAAAGACTGTCAGATTGGCCAAGAGAATAGAGGGCTGTGGAGAAAAGGAACTTCATGGAATACTATGACATACAGTCTGAAAATATGAAGATTATCAGGGCAAATCATGCAAGAACTAGAGAAAGGTGATTAGAGGTTTCAGGCAAAAGTATATAAGAAAGTCGTTATTTAAAAATGATGAAATGATAATGATGCATAGCTTTAAATAATTGGGGAGTATAAAAGAAGGTAATCCATTTGATCTTGATGCTTGGAATTGTCCAACAGTTGCCAAGGGGTCATAAAATTAGATAAGGAAGTGTAGTTCCAGCCCATTATTTGGCTCAACAATAAACAGTGCTTACAATGTAATAGCAATATAAATACTGCTTATATTTAATAGCAATAGTGATGCTGTTTGTTGGTTTCTGTCTTTTAGCATGAATTTCTTTATTAAGCAAAAGAGCTTTGGTTATAGAAGAAGGGTAAAAGTAACTGCAAAGCCCAAGTTACAGTGTCAGGTTCGAATCAGCCTAGTTGTGCTGACTCTGATTGGGGTGGGGGTCGGGAGCTCTTCACAATGATTCAATGGCCAGTTAAATGCTTTTGGATTATGGCAAGACTTTCACACACCAACAACCATGCAAATATGTTCAACACACACAGGCAGTCATAAGAGAGACAGGAATGAACCATGATGAGTAGCTGACTGATGAACCAGGCAGGTCCAGATTTCCCTGGACATGCAACCAACAGGGATAGGGGTGGGGCTGGGGGTGGGGTGGTTGTCTCTTTTCTGGCAGAGCTTCTCGAGGCCACTGCAGATGGGAAGAAGCCCTCAGAGTTCTTGTAGGCAGAGCTTCCGCAGATGTCTCAGCCGTAGTCAGTTTCTTTGCTGTTTTTATGACCCTCTGCCGGAGTGTGGTGGTCATTACCTCAGCCACCTCTTGGCTTCACTTTCTTGTAGGGTCTCTAGGTGCCTGGCCACAGCAGGTGCTATCTTATCACCTCAGTCCACCATACCCATGCTTATCACTTTGAGGGGCCAGCAGTTTCACAAGTGAGCTGAGTTACTTGTCATAAGTGACTCCATTTTGGACATTTAGGATCACAAAATATTATGTATCACAAGTGTAGCTGATATAAGATAGGAGGTGGAAAGGCAGGGAAGATAAGACTGTTCACTGTTTGCTTTCTGCCAGTCAAGACACAGGATGAGGAGTTAAATACTTTTGAAAGTTGATGGGGAAAAACCCGGAGATTTAATTTTTATTATTTAAAGTTACAAGGATAACTGACATAAAAATGATATAAATTATAAATACTAGAAGGGGAAGAGGGAAAGAAGAGGATGAGTTGTGTTTCGTGAGCTACACTCCCACCTTTCAAAGTCAGTGGACATTGTCTAAATGTGAAACATCTTGAAATGGAAGCATAAGCATACTACCTAGAGTTCTGGAGATAACAGAATTAAGGACAGCAATGGCCAAAAGAGGGCACTTCCGGTGTGTGGGGCTATGTATGAGTAAGGAAGAGGGCACAAAATTTTTCTCATAAACTTTCTGAATATTTTGATTTTTTACTTGACCATGTTTCATTTTTATAGACATAAATACTAAATTATTTAAAAAGCTGTCAGCATATATTGATAGATGGCAAATTAAGCCACAAGGATGGACTGAAATCCTTTGAGATAGAGTACAGTGAAGAGTAAAGAGGGATACCTAGGATAGTCTCCCAAGGCGTTTCAAAACTGAAAGAAAGATGAGGCAGTAAAATCACAGAAAAGGCACAAAAAGGAAGGTTAGAGTAAAACGGGAAAGTGTGACAAGGAAACCAGAAGAGGATGTCCTCAGCTATCTCCCAAGGCTGCAGGAGGGAGGGAAAGATTAAAGACCAGAGGAGGCGAGCAGGCTGGCTCCAGACACCATCAGAGGTGTTCCCCGCAGAGGACACAGCCGCATCTGCAGCAGGCAGAAGGAGCGGCAGTGCTGTAGTTACAGTTAGGTGTGCGGCCACCAGGAATTTAGAAGTTCCTGCCCGAAAGCTCTTCGTTTCTATTAAGGAAGAAGCCTGTGTCTGCAGAAAGAGAACAAATAAGTGGACTAGGACTTTGTTTGTTGTGTATCAGTTTTGCAGCACTCAGCAGGGCAGAGAGGCAAGGCAGGCAGAGAGCTGGATTCATCCAAGATTGGGTTTTGGCCAGGTGGGTGCAAAAGGTGAATAGGTATTTCTAGGAGCACAAGAAGGGGAAGGCAGAGGTGGGCCAATTAGCAAAAGGCTAATTTGTCAAGGCCTACTTCTGTACATAGTGAAAATAATTTCCATTATGTAATAAAGAAACTTTTTTAAAAAATGCAAAGCAGCCAAGAGGATTGCGTGGTAGAGTTCAAACAACAAGAACCACACAGATAATGTTTATATTCGAGATTTATGAACCTAAGGCAGGCTAGAGGAGAATCCCGAATGCCTCCTGCTAAAGCTGAGGCAATTGAGAGTTCCAGGATGTAGGGATGATTTCCTACCCAAACTCAGTCACAGTGGACAGTAGAGAAGCATCCTAGAGAAATTAGGCCAGACATGAAACACTTGGTGAAAGCACCTCATGTTTAGATGCCACTGAGGACTGAGAAACATGTGATTACAAACTGCTATGACATGATTCCATGGTGATGGGAAGGGTGCATGAGCATGTGGATTATTCTGGAAAAGAGCTTGGGATCCCTGGAGTCAGCCAACTGGACAATGTGCCTCCCTAGCCTCAGCTCTGCTCGGTGGCTCAGGTTTCTCCTAGAGGCACAGTGGAACCTTGATGCCGACGCTGGCTCAGGAAGAGAGCCCAGCCAAGTGATGGCCAAATATGGTCCAAAGTCACTACCATTTTGCAATGACTCCAAGAGCTGCTTCTGACTCAGGTCCCTTAAGAAGGTCTGGCAGTCAGTAAGTAGTCTGTGGCATGAAAAGAAAGAGCTACCCATACTGGGTATATTGGGGAATACAGGGCACTTCTGAAGGAGATTGTGATGTGTAGTGGCCATACACCACCCTACTGCCAAACACCCCATAAAATAAGACTTGACTGAAATCTATTTACTGTTAGAGACTAGGTCTGTCCTCTTCTCTTTGTTTGCTGTTGTTGCCTGCAAGCTCAGGAACAGCATTTAATGATACGCTGACACATGCTTTTTGTGCTAGAAGCTGAGAGAGGAAAAGTGGGGACTCTGAGTGACTTGGGTTGACAGAATCCCAGTGGACAGCATGTGACAGCTTCAACTTTGCTTCTCAGCTACTAGGATAATTGCTTCGTTATGTACTCTGTCCCTGCTCTTTTGCAATCCCAACAACAAACGGTTCCTTTGTGGTTTTTTTTGTTGTTGTTGATTTGAACATTTGTTTAGGATTTGTATGTGCCACGCACTGTGCTAGATACCAGAGAGGAAAATTTTAATAAAGACAAGGGCCTTAGTCACGAAGGCTTAGGGTCTACTCACTTTTTTTCTAAACTGGTGAAGCACTTTATGTGCATCTCCCTTGAGATTTTTATCTCCCTTCACGCTGACCTATAGTTATTTATTTACATATCATCTTTTGTCTTAGGCTTTTGGCCAGAATTTGCAAAATGGCTGTGGTGAATGCATTTGATATGTAGATGTATTTTTTTCTTCTCCCTCAAAACTTAAAAAAACTAGAATTAGTTACTGCTTATAAAATTTAGAAGTCTTTAATAAAAATGATTCTGGCTTCTCTTAAAATATTAGAAGATCTGCAAAACTGGGTGCAGATTCCCACATTTGGAGCTAAGTAGAGGCTGGCCCTTTCAAACTGAGCATGAACTTTCTGTTATACTCCAGTTCCCACCTAATGGCTTTGCCCATCTATGATGCCCTTTTTTTTTTTTTTTTTTTTTTTGAGACAGAGTCTCGCTCTGTCGCCCAGGCTGGAGGGCAGTGGTGCAATCTCGGCTCACTGCAAGCTCCGCCTCCTGGGTTCACGCCATTCTCCTGCCTCAGCCTCCCCAGCAGCTGGGACTACAGGCACACGCCGCCACGCCCGGCCAATTTTTGTATTTTTTAGTAGAGACAGGGTTTCTCTGTGTTAGTCAGGATGGTATCGATCTCCTGACCTCATGATCCGCCCGCCTTGGCCTCCCAAAGTGCTAGGATTACAGGCGTGAGCCACTGCGCCCGGCCGCCACTGGAAATATTGAGACTGGTTAATTGAATATGATTGTAGATTAAGTGTGAATTAATAAGGAATTAGACTACTCCAAGTGGTGACTGGGAATACATGAGAAGGGAGGGATACACAGAGAGAGAGAGTATAAAGCAAGAATTTTCAAGATTTAGTGACAAATCTCAGGCATGGATCAACCGGAATAGTAGTTATGATCCTAAGAGGTCAGGGGAGTGATGGTGTTGATAGCAGGCATGATTGGCAGTGAGTCAGATGTCCTTTACCAGATGGTGCATACATCCCCAGCTACCTTGAGAGTTAACTGATAATGGCTCATAGTTGCCCCCTTCATGGCATCCTCTAGGGAGATAGCCATCCACAATCAATAATTAAGGAACATGGATATAAGAGGCAATCCTTCTTGTGTCAAGGTGGGATCAATTCAGTGGTACGATTTATGCTCCAGAGCCGCCCATGGGATCAGGTTGAAGCTGGACTCCAGCTGGGACTACAGCCTAATTTAGCTCCTTCCCCTGCCCTATCCTGCTTACCCTTCCTCCTTTCACCTGAGAGCCCTCTCTCAATAAATCATGCACACCAGAGTCTCAATAAATTGAGCACTTCTTGGAAATGCAGACTTAGTGTGTATAACAGAATGAGGTGGTTTAAAACTTGGGAAATAGCTAATGTTAGGAAGAGGAGATCTGGGAACTTCTCCCTGTAGGATTCCTTTTATAATCATGATTTTATCTCTAGCTTGACAGCACAGGGCCTGGCATACACAAAATGTGCAGCAAATTTTATTTCATTTGTCAAACAAATTTGATTTGGAGTTCATTGAGTTTGAGGAAACAGGACATCTAGTATGAGACATGGAACATGGGCACAGGAAAGTGGTTGTGGCTGGAAATTTAGATCTTTTAAAGAGAAGGAAGCAATTGAAGAGAGAGATAGTAATTAGTGTCAAGTGCAAATAAAATCTTGATTCTTTTCAATGTAAAAGCAGCCAACATTTGTCTTTACCTCAATTAGGTACGTAACTCCAATTACTCTATATCAATGAGTTACGATCCTTTAGTAATGTTTAGGCAAAATTCCAATTAATGAGTTTTGCTCACTGCTAGTAAGTAGGTCTAGTGGAAAAGAAGATTAACTTTAGATTGGGAAAGTATTTATGGATTTTGTTTGTCTTCTGTATTTCTATTGCCAAAAGATTGAGTGAGCCACTTGAGAATCTCTTAAAACAAAGAAATGTGCAGAATATATAAAATAATCAAGTATTTATTGTACTTAAAAGATTTATGTCTGTCTCTTTTCACTGAATTAATTATATTTTCTGAAAAAATAGAAATTGAAAAAAAAAGTCACAAGCATTCAGGTGTCCCAAAGATAACATTATTTATGTTTTCAAATACAAGGCTTCCACTATCCCCAGAAAAGTGGTTTTGAATGTTTTAAACCTTAGTTGTCTAATTTCATCCCATAAACTGTAATTATAGCTCTTTATAACATGCTAAATAATTCCTCCTAGTACTGGATGTTTATACCTTTCAAATATTTATAGGCTGTCATTATTCCTTACTCATCTCTTCACAAAGTTGCACATATTTTATTCCTATAATGTTTTTTCACAAATCAATTTCCTCAATACTAAACTGCTTTTCTTATTTCTCCATTCAATTTGTCTCCATCTTTTGATATAGTGCTAATCAAAGCAAATGAGATATTTCAGGCACAATTTATCCTAAGGTTGTTTGAGAGCATTAAAACTTTCTCATTGGGGATAAAATTCCTCATTTATATGTAGCTCAGAATAGTGCTGACTTTATTGGTATTTTTGTCACTTAACTTTGAAAATTCATAACTAATTTCCCATGTAATGGTATTCAAAAATATCTATGCCATTACTGTTTCTTCACTGATCAAGGATTATGTAGGAATTAAATGAGTTCAGAATATATTTCTGTAATTTGTTTCTTATATGCAATATTGAATCACATTTCCAGCTTCGTTATATCTATAAACAAAATTCTTATTTCCCAGTGTCCATCCAAATCAGTAATATCTGGAAACTTAAAAAATATTATTTTTACTTTAGATTGCTCAAAGAGATATTAAATTCTTGCAACTTCATTTTTAGTGTTTCAACATAATTATTTTTTCCCACAACTTTTCAGTTGGCTAGATGATGTTATTATTATGACAATTTGTTAGGGCAATTCCCTTTGCTTATTATGCCTTGAGCATCCCACTGAAATCATTCATATATATATATATATTCATATATATAAAATACCCTAAGTATAACAGATATTGTATAAAAATAATATAAAATGCTCAATGTTTTCTTCTTCAACCTTATTCCTCAACAACTGTATCCTGTATTTATATATTGCAAGTTTTAAAATATCTTCACATCTCTTCTTAATTTAAAAGTCTACTAGGGGTCCCTAATACCCTCAAAAATAGTAACAGGTCTGGGCTCTGACGGTCCCACTGAATCTCATTCCACTATATCTTTCTGGTCTCTACTGTTTTCACTCCACCCCATGAGCTCTCTACCCAACTACATGCACCAACTGGGAAGCCTTTTGAAGAATCCCACAGAATTAATTGTTCCCTCCTCCCAGTTCTTGTTGCCTTAATTTGCACCTCTACGATAGCTCGTTTCCCTGAAAGATTTACTGCTCTTTGTACATATTGCTTGTCTCACACACATCATTATGTGAGCTTATTTTTCCTCTGCCCAGTGCCTCCCAAGAGTAATATTTAATAAATAACTGTTGAATAGTGGCAACTCCAGATTTTACTTAGAATTTGGGGTGACAGTCCAGCTGGAAACTGGGAGACTGGTCCTGAAGCTCCAACTTCATGGGCAGAGCAAACACACTGCCTTTACTCAGGGTGCTTATTTGAGGGTAGTTTTTGGTGGACTGAGAGAGGTCATCAGTGGAACTGCCCTTTGGTGTAGGAAACAATCAAGTGAGGAATGAAGTAGAAGACAGTCAAGTTTAAAATAGTGAAATGATGTGCAAAAGTCACCCCATGAAAGATGGAAATTAGAATCTCGGGCTCTTATTTTCTTCATGGTATTGTTCCCATTATTTTTTATTTCATTTTGCTCTAGGTCTTTCTCTTGCTCTTGAATCCTATTGACATCAGACAGAGGAGAGGACATTTTTCTACTCTCATGCAATCTGAGAGACAGTGTCACCTTTTCCTATCTTGGCCCCATAATCAATCAATGTCCAGTCAGAAAAAAACAGAAGCCACTCTAGGTATTTCGAACAGAAGGGATTTCATACAAGGAACTGGTTTCAAAAGTGTTGGAAGGCCTGAAGGAGCAAAAGGCCAAAGGTGTGCAACACAGAGCCAGTGACTACAGAAAGTCGCTACCAGCCCTGGCTTGGCTGGAGGAACCCAGGGGCAGGGAAGACCTGGCGGCGGGGGTGGGGGTTGGGGGCGGCTCCCAGCAGACATGGCTGGGGGCCTGAAACCAGGTTGCCACCAATCCGATTGTCACTGTGCTGCAGCTGCCAAAAGCCGCAGAGGGCTCAGCCTGCCGGCTTTACTGCTGTTTTTCTGCTGCTGGAACTGTGGACAGTCCTGGAACCACAGAAGGCTACTATTGCTGTCAGAAGCAGCTAGAATTACAAATAAATAAACAAAATAAATATTTTCTTTTCCTTCATCTTTCCAATGTCCTGCCAGTGCTTCTTTTTAGAATAACCTATCCAAAAATCATTTGGCTGAGAAATTTGGGAAATTTAATTTTCCGTAATGAAAGGGAAGAAAGGAAACTGAAAGAAAAACTGGCAAATAAGCATCACACACATTTATCCCACAAAATATTTGGCATAATTCTAGTCCTCTGTTTTCTTCTCTGATAACAAAATAATCATAGCAAGTTAAGTTTTCATATCAGTATACCTTAACATTTATAACTTGGTAAAAATAGTTTTAACATATTCAAACTTTCCAGGTGTTTCTTTAGATAGGCATTATCTACAACGCATTCTATAGACTATATCCTAATGAAATGGTTCAAGGCCAAATGAGTTTGGGAAACTCTGTACTTTATACCTATCTCTTGGAATTTCACACTTCATATTAGCATAGTAAAGGCTCTGAGAAATCCATTAGTCTCAAATCATGTTTGACATTGTTTGACTTTGTAATCTATATACCTTAGTGAACAAAACGGTCATAGTCCCTGATACCTGGAGTTTCTGGGGGAGAGGCAGAGAATAAAGTAAGCAGAGAAATGTGTGTATGTGTGTTATGTGTATAATTTACTTTTGTGTTATGGATGAAACAAATAGGTTGCAGTGATGGAAAATACAGTATCATAAAGGGGAATGAACTCATCAGACAGCATGGTGAGGACAGACTCTTGGAGAAAGTGACAGGCTGAGATCTTAAGAATCAGATGGAATCAGTCACATAGAGTATTCTAACATTGTTACTCAGTAGAAAACTGTTCCTGGACCCTAATGAGATCTGTACAGAAACTGAGAGGAAGCATTTGTAACATTTATAGCAATTTGATAAGACTAACTTTATGTCTGTTAAATCTAAAAATAAAACATTCTTTAAAATTTTTTTCTAATAGTTGGTTTTTTTACGTATAATTCTCTGATAGATTGGGGGGAAAAAGATTTGATCCTTCCCCACAGAGAGTTTGAGAAACTCTGTTCCAGCAGAAGTAAAATGTGTTTGCAAAAGCCCTAAAGAAGGAAAGAGACTGCTGAGTTTAGGAACTGACTATAGGCTCATGACTGGGAACACAGTTGTATGCAGAGCTTTGAGGACAAAAACATAAAGGGACTTGATTTTATTCTGTACAATGGAGAGTCACTGAAGAATTTTCAAAAATTTAAACTGACACTTGATATAGATGTTAAAAACAATCATTCTAACTGCTTTATGAAGAAAGAGTTGAAATAAAGTGTGTAAAACAATGGATCAGTTCAGAAGCCTTTAGAAGTTTGGTGGGAGATGATGCTGGCTTAGACTATGACAGTGATGGGTTAACTGGAGGAGAATTGGAAGAGAGCTGGCACATACCTCCCTTGTGGGTTGGGGGCAAGTGAGGAGAGGGAAATGGCAAGGGGATCAGGAAGATGCCCAAGTTTCCCAGAGGAGAAGTTAAGGCTGGATATATACCTTCAAGGATGATCAGCATTTAGTTTTCATAGCCATGGGGACTAGATAATATTGAAGATACAGTAAAAGGGAAAATGTTGAGAGCCCAGCACTGAACCCTGAAGAGTATCTTTGGGCCTTCTACGGCCCTAAGGAGGAGTCTAGCTTGAAGATAACCGATTACCTCAAGGACATGTAATAATTCCTACATGTTCAGATTTGTGTCTAGATATCTCTAACATTAAATCCCATTCAGTACATTTACTGAGTATCTATACAATTTAAGAGACCATGGAAGGTGTTGTAAAAGATATAATCCAAACAAGCAAACTTTAAGAGTTTGATATCTGGAAATATGTACAAAAATCTAAGATATGTACAAAAGTGCAAGTCAAATCTGACAGATGCTATAAGAGAATTATAAAGCAAAATGGGAATCTACAGAAGTCAAAATGGAAGATTTAATGGATAAGGTTAGCATTGAGCTGGTCTTGAAAGAGGTGCATGAATTTTAATAAAAAAGAGATCACATGCATATATACATATGTGAGTGTGTGTGTATAAATAAATATATATATTTGCCCCATGCAGCACGTACTTACATTTATGTCTATATCTACATTAGTCTGTGTATATATATTTATGCGTTCAGAGTTCCAATCCAATTCTAGTTCAGCAACACAGTGTTGTTCTTTTTTTTTTTTTTTTTTTAATTGATCATTCTTGGGTGTTTCTCGCAGAGGGGGATTTGGCAGGGTCACAGGACAATAGTGGAGGGAAGGTCAGCAGATAAGTGAACAAAGGTCTCTGGTTTTCCTAGGCAGAGGACCCTGCGGCCTTCCGCAGTGTTTGTGTCCCTGGGTACTTGAGATTAGGGAGTGGTGATGACTCTTAACGAGCATGCTGCCTTCAAGCATCTGTTTAACAAAGCACATCTTGCACCACCCTTAATCCATTCAACCCTGAGTGGACACAGCACATGTTTCAGAGAGCACAAGGTTGGGGGTAAGGTCACAGATCAACAGGATCCCAAGGCAGAAGAATTTTTCTTAGTACAGAACAAAATGAAAAGTCTCCCATGTCTACCTCTTTCTACACAGACACGGCAACCATCCGATTTCTCAATCTTTTCCCCACCTTTCCCCCCTTTCTATTCCACAAAACCGCCATTGTCATCATGGCCCGTTCTCAATGAGCTGTTGAGTACACCTCCCAGACGGGGTGGTGGCCGGGCAGAGGGGCTCCTCACTTCCCAGTAGGGGCGGCTGGGCAGAGGCGCCCCTCACCTCCTGGATGGGGTGGCTGGCCGGGCGGGGGGCTGACCCCCCCGCCCCCCTCCTGGACGCGGCGGCTGGCCGGGCGGGGGGCTGACCTCCCCGCCTCCCTCCCGGATGGGGCGGCTGGCTGGGTGGGGGGCTGACCCCCCCACCTCCCTCCCGGATGGGGTGGCTGGCCGGGCAGAGGGGCTCCTCTCTTCCCAGTAGGGGCGGCCGGGCAGAGGCGCCCCTCACCTCCCAGATGGGGCGGCTGGCCAGGCGGGGGGCTAACCCCCCCACATCCTTCCCAGATGGGGCGGCTGGCCAGGCAGAGGGGCTCCTCACTTCCCAGTAGGGGCGGCCGGGCAGAGGCGCCCCTCACCTCCCGGACGGGGCGGCTGGCCGGGCGGGGGGCTGACCCCCCCACCTCCTTCCCGGACGGGGCGGCTGGCCGGGCAGAGGGACTCCTCACTTCCCAGTAGGAGCGGCCGGGCAGAGGCACCCCTCACCTCCCGGACGGGCAGGTGGCCGGGCAGGGGGATGATCCCCCCACCTCCCTCCCGGATGGAGCGGCTGGCTGGGCAGGGGGCTAACCCCCCCACCTCCCTTCCGGACGGGGTGGCTGGCCAGGCGGGGGGCTGACCCCCACCTCCCTCCCAGACGGGGTGGCTGCCAGGCGGAGACGCTCCTCACTTCTCAGAGGGTGTGGCTGCCGGGCGGAGGGGCTCCTCACTTCTCAGACGGGGCAGTTGCCAGGCAGAGGGTCTCCTCACTTCTCAGACGGGGCGGCCGGGCAGAGACGCTCCTCACATCCCAGACGGGGCAGCAGGGCAGAGGCGCTCCCCACATCTCAGACAATGGGTGGCCTGGCAGAGACGCTCCTCACTTCCTAGATGGGATGGCGGCCGGGCAGAGACGCTCCTCACTTTCCAGACTGGGCAGCCAGGCAGAGAGGCTCCTCACATCCCAGACGATGGGCAGCCAGGCAGAGACGCTCCTCACTTCCCAGACGGGGTGGCGGCCGGGCAGAGGCTGCAATCTCGGCACTTTGCGGGGCCAAGGCAGGCAGCTGGGAAGTGGAGGTTGTAGCGAGCCGAGATCACGCCACTGCACTCCAGCCTGGGTACCATTGAGCACTGAGTGAACGCGACTCCGTCTGCCATCCCGGCACCTCGGGAGGCCGAGGCTGGCGGATCACTCGCGGTTAGGAGCTGGAGACCAGCCCGGCCAACACAGCGAAACCCCGTCTCCACCAAAAAAATACGAAAACCAGTCAGGCGTGGCGGCGCGCGCTTGCAATCGCAGGCACTCGGCAGGCTGAGGCAGGAGAATCAGGCAGGGAGGTTGCAGTGAGCCGAGATGGCAGCAGTACAGTCCAGCTTTGGCTCAGCATCAGGGGGAGACTGTGGGGAGAGGGAGACCGTGGGGAGGGGGAGAGGGAGAGGGAGAGGAGGGAGAGGGAGAGGAGGGAGAGGGAGAGGAGGGAGAGGGAGAGGAGGGAGAGGGAGAGGAGGGAGCCACAGTGTTGTTCTTTCTCAAATGTACAACTGGCTCTCACAGTTTAAAATAAAATTGCTTTTTTTTCAATGTTAGTATACACAAGTAGTTTCAGAATTGCTAACTCATACCCCTGTGAGAAACACATTTATTAAATAGCACATAGCAACTAGGTACAATAGTTTTTTTCTTTCATTTTAGTAGAATCCAATCAAAATACTGACTTCTAAAAGTTACTTAGGTTAGTTCTGTTCTCCATCTGTGTCAGTGTGGTAATGTCACTCATACGTTAGACTAGTAACATTTGATAGTTTGTATTCCATTTTGGGATACCCCCACATCTTAGTATATTTTTATTTAGTTTACATAGAGTAAAATCCACTCATTGAGTTGTATAATTCCTCAGATTTTGACAAATGCTTAGGGCCATGTATCCACTTGCACAGTCATGACACAAATCAATTCTCACCCCAAAAGTTCCCCAGTGCTGCTCCTTTGTAGACAACCACTACCCGCACCTGCAATCTTTGGCAACCACTCATCCGTGTTCTGTCACAATTTTGGTCTTTTCCAGGAAGGTACATACATGAAATAATATGGGTCTGTCTACTTTCACTTGGCAAAATATACTTGAGATTAATCGATATGCTTGCAAGCATCAATAGTTCATTCCTTTTTACTGCAGAGTAGCATTCCATTGTGTGGCTGTATCATGGTTTGTTTATCTGTTCACTGGTTGAAATACACCTGGGCCACACAGTTTGGGGTGATTATGAATAAAGTATGATAAACACTCATGTACAGGTTTTTGTGTGAACATAAGTTTTCACTTCTCTTGGGTGAATACATAGGAAGCTTTGAATTTTTTTCCCTCTTTGTGTTTCAGTTTGGGTGATTGCTATAAACTGATGCTCAAGTTCACTGATTCTTTGTTACATCTTCTGATGTGCCCATTGAAGGCATTCTTCACTTCTGTTGCTGTGATTTTCACTTTTTGCATTTCAGTTTGATTGATCCTTATAGTTTCCATTTCTCCTGAAATCACCCATCTGATCTGGCATGTTGTTCTCCTTTTCCACTAGAGCTATATCATATTACTCATAGTTATTTTCAATTTCCTGTCAGATAGTTCCAACATCTCTGTCATATCTGGGGTCTGGTTCTGTTGACTGCTTTATTTTTGACAGTGTGTTGTTGTTTTCTTTATCACTTTTTTGTATGACTTGTAATTTTTTGTTGAAAGCCAGACACCTTGTTAAGGACAGCAGAGATGAGGAAAATAGATTTTATGCCTGAAAATGCATACACCTGTCTGTCCTTCTGCTAGGATTCTAGAGTGTGAGTCTGCGTTAGGAGTTGGGCTGAGTTTAATTCTCTTCCTCCACTGTAGTGGTTACCCTTAGGGCACCACAAGCATCAAATTCCTTTAGTGACACTTTGTGGTTCAGTTGGGGGCTGGTTTGCCTGTAGTTTTTTCAATTCTGCTCCATCTTCAGCTTTAGATCTTCCCTTTGCACTGTACCTCAGAAATGGTCTGTGCCCACACTCTTGGGCCTCTTCCAGCAACATCCCACTGTGACTTGCTACTCCACTTGTGAGCCTGGTGATGGGGAGGAGGAGCTCTCTGTCCTATTAAGCCCTATCTTAGGCAGCAGTGTGTATGGGGATGTGGTCTTCTCATAGTCCTCTCTCTCCCTCAGCTGTAGTTTAGGGCCCTGTAGACGTTCTAGTGTGGCACCCAGGATGGGGTGACCAACCCCTCCCAGCTTGTCAGGGACTTTTCCAGTTTTAGCTCTGAAAGTCCCATGTCAGTCCTGGACAAACAAACTAGGAGTAGAGAGTGCTTTCTGTTCCTCAACTGCAATGGGTTTTCCCCAGGGTCCTGAGGGTGGCAGCGCTGGCTACCCTCCTCCTCTTAGGTGAAGGCTTTTGTTCCACAGGAGAGATGAAGGAGAAGGTCCTGGTGGGGGGTTCTTGCTCCTTTCAGCAGAGGCTGCTCTTCTGCTTTCTCGGTGTGCTCCTGGTAGGGCTCCTGGAGAAGAGCTTGCAAGAGAGTGCAAACTCTCCTGTACCCGAAGCCCCCAGGGGCTCCACATTCTCCTAGCAGCCCACATGCAGCCTCTACCAATTCATTAACTATTCTGGCTGGGTTATTTCTACCAGTGTCTTACTGTGTCTGCCCCAGATACCACTACATACCATTTCATACTAGGAAAATGGCAAAAAATAACCTGAAACAACAGCAACAAAACCAACTGACAATATCAAGAGCTAACAATGATGAAGCGCAAGTGCAACTGTCATATATTGTTAGTGGAAATCCAAAATGGTACAGACATTCTAGAGCAGTTTGGCAGGTTTTTTATTTTATTTTTCATATTTATTTATTTATTTAGTTTAAAGACAGGGTCTCACTGTAGTGCCCAGGCTGGAGTGCAGTGATGCAATCATAGCTCACTGCAGCCTCAAATCCTGAGATCCTCCTGCCTCTGCCTCCTGAGTAGCTGGGATTATAGGAGTGAGCTGCTGTGCCTGGCAGATTCTTATAAAGTTAAACATACACTTGCCATATTACCCAGCAATCCCATTTAGCCTAGAGAAATAAAAATATATGTTCACAGATGAAAACCTAGATACAAATGATTACAGCATCTTCACCCACAGTCACCAAAATTTGGAAACTATCCCAATGTCAATACGTGAATAAATAAGCAAGATGTAGTCCATACAGGAGAATACTGCTCAGGAATAAAAAGGAACTAATTATTGATATGCAAATAACATGAATGGATCTTGAAGGCAGTATACTGACTGAAAGAAGAAAGTCATAAAATGTTACATACTGGAAGACTCCGTGTAAATGACACTTTGGAAAAGGTAAAGCTATGGGGGGAACAGATCAGTAGCTTACAGGGGTTAGGAGTGGGAGAAGTGATGACTAAAAAGAACTAGTATTAGGGTAATTTTGGTGATGCTGGAACTGTTCTGTATCCTGATTGTGTCAGTGGTTCCATGAAGCTATACATGTGTTAAAACACATAGAATCAAGATGGCCAAATAGGAACAGCTCTGGTCTACAGCTACCAGCATGAGCGACACAGAAGACGGGTGATTTCTGCATTTCCAACTGAGGTACTGGGTTCATCTCACTGGGGAGTGCCAGACAGTAGGTGCAGGACAGTGGGTGCGGTGCACCGTGAGTGAGACAAAGCAGGGCGAGGCATCGCCTCACCCGGGAAGCGCAAGGGGTCAGGGAATTCCCTTTCCTAGTCAAAGAAAGCGTGACAGATGGCACCTGGAAAATCAGGTCACTCCCACCCTAATACTGCGCTTTTCCAACGGGCTTAAAAAACGGCACACCAGGAGATTATATCCTGCACCTGGCACAGAGGGTCCTACGGCCACGGAGTCTTGCTCATTGCTAGCGCAGCAGTCTGAGATCAAACTGCAAGGCAGCAGCGAAGCTGGGGGAGGGGTGCTTGCCATTGTCGAGTTAGTTGTTTGATTAGGTAAACAAAGCAACCTGGAAGCTCGAACTGGGTGGAGCCCACCACAGCTCAAGGAGGCCTCCCTTCCTCTGTAGGCTCCACCTCTGAGGGCAGGGCACAGACAAACAAAAAAACAGCAGTAACCTCTGCAGACTTAAATGTCCCTCTCTGACAGCTTTGAAGAGAGTAGTGGTTCTCCCAGCATGCAGCTTGAGATCTGAGAACAGGCAGGCTGCCTCCTCAAGTGGGTCCCTGACCCCCGAGTGGCCTAACTGGGAGGCACCCCCCAGTAGGGGCGGACTGACACCTCACACGGCCAGGTACTCCTTTGAGACAAAACTTCCAGAGGAATGATCAGGCAGCAGCATCTGCGGTTCACCAATATCTGCTGTAATGCAGACACCGCTGCTGATACCCAGGCAAACAGGGTCTGGAGTGGACCTCTAGCAAACTCCAACAGACCTGCAGCTGAGGGTCCTGTCTGTTAGAAGGAAAACTAACAAACAGAAAGGACATCCACACCAAAAACCCATCTCTACGCCACCATCATCAAAGACCAAAGGTAGATAAAACCACAAAGGTGGGAAAAAAACAGAGCAGAAAAACTGAAAACTCTAAAAATCAGAGCAACTCTCCTCCTCCAAAGGCATGCAGCTCCTCACCAGCAATGGAACAAAGCTAGAAGGAGAATGACTTTGATGAGTTGAGAGAAGAAAGCTTCAGACGATCAAACTACTCTGAGTTACGGGAGGAAATTCGAACCAATGGCAAAGAAGTTAAAAGCTTTGAAAAAAAATTAGATGAATGGAGAACTAGAATAACCAATGCAGAGAAGTCCTTAAAGGACCTGATGGAGCTGAAAACCAAGGCCCAAGAGCTACGTGTCGAATGCAGAAGCCTCAGTAGCCGATGCGCTCAACTGGAAGAAAGGGTATCAGTGATGGAAGATGAAATGAATGAAATGAAGTGAGAAGAGAAGTTTAGAGAAAAAAGAATAAAAAGAAATGAACAAAACCTCCAAGAAATATGGGACTATGTGAAAAGCCCAAATCTACGTCTGATTGGTGTACCTGAAAGTGACGGGGAGAATGGAACCAAGTTGGAAAACACTCTGCAGGATATTATCCAGGAGTACTTCCCCAATCTAGCAAGGCAGGCCAACATTCAAATTCAGGAAAAACGCAGAACGCCACAAAGATACTCCTCGAGAAGAGCAACTCCAAGACACATAATTATCAGATTCACCAAAGTTGAAATGAAGGAAAAAATGTTAAGGGCAGCAAGAGAGAAAGGTCGGGTTACCCACAAAGGGAAGCCCATCAGACTAACAGCTGATCTCTCAGCAGAAACTCTACAAGCCAGAAGAGAGTGGGGACCAATATTCAACATTCTTAAAGAAAAGAATTTTTAACCCAGAATCTCATATTCAGCCAAACTAAGCTTCATAAGTGCAGGAGAAATAAAATACTTTACAGACAAGCAAATGCTGAGAGATTTTGTCACCACCAGGCCTGCCCTAAAAGAGCTCCTGAAGGAAGCACTAAACACGGAAAGGAACAACTGGTACCAGCCACTGCAAAAACATGCCAAATTGTAAAGACCATCAAGGCTAGGAAGAAACTGCATCAACTAACGAGCAAAATAACCAGCTAACATCATAATGACAGGATCAACTTCATACATAACGATATTAATTTTAAATATAAATGGGCTAAATGCTCCAATTAAAAGACACAGACTGGCAAATTGGATAAAGAGTCAAGACCCATCAGTGTGCTGTATTCAGGAGATCCATCTCACATGCAGAGACACACATAGGCTCAAAATAAAGGGATGGAGGAAGATCTACCAAGCAAATGGAAAACAAAAAAAGGCAGGGGTTGCAATCCTAGTCTCCGATAAAACAGACTTTAAACCAACAAAGATCAAAAGAGACAAAGAAGGCCATTACATAATGGTAAAGGGATCAATTCAACAAGAAGAGCTAACTATCCTAAATATATATGCACCCAATACAGGAGCACCCAGATTCATAAAGCAAGTCCTGAGTGACCTACAAAGAGACTTAGACTCCCACACAATAATAATGGGAGACTTTAACACCCCACTGTCAACATTAGACAGATTAATGAGACAGAAAGTTAACAAGGATACCCAGGAATTGAACTCAGCTCTGTACCAAGCAGACCTAATAGACATCTACAGAACTCTCTACCCCAAATCAACAGAATATACATTCTTTTCACCACCACACCACACCTATTCCAAAATTGACCACATAGTTAGAAGTAAAGCACTCCTCAGCAAATGTAAAAGAACAGAAATTATAACAAACTGTCTCTCAGACCACAGTGCAATCAAACTAGAACTCAGGATTAAGAAAGTCACTCAAAACCGCTCAACTACATGGAAACTGAACAACCTGCTCCTGAATGACTACTAGGTACATAATGAAATGAAGGCAGAAATAAAGATGTTCTTTGAAACCAACGAGAACAAAGACACAACATACCAGAATCTCTGGGACACATTCAAAGTAGTGTGTAGAGGGAAATTTATAGCACTAAATGCCCACAAGAGAAAGCAGGAAAGATCCAAAATTGACACCCTAACATCACAATTAAAAGAACTAGAAAAGCAAGAGCAAACACATTCAAAAGCTAGCAGAAGGCAAGAAATAACTAAGATCAGAGCAGAACTGAAGGAAAAAGAGACACAAAAAACCCTTCAAAAAATTAATGAATCCAGGAGGTGGTTTTTTGAAAAGATCAACAAAATTGATAGACCGCTAGCCAGACTAATAAAGAAGAAAAGAGAGAAGAATCAAATAGACACAATAAAAAATGATAAAGGGGATATCACCACCGATCCCACAGAAATGCAAACTACCATCAGAGAATACTATAAACACCTCTACACAAATAAAGTAGAAAATCTAGAAGAAATGGATAAATTCCTCAACACATACATCCTCCCAAGACTAAACCAGGAAGATGTTGAATCTCTGAATAGACCAATAACAGGCTCTGAAATTGAGGCAATAATCAATAGCTTACCAGCCAAAAAAAGTCCAGGACCAGATGGATTCACAGCTGAATTCTACCAGAGGTACAAAGAGGAGCTGGTACCATTCCTTCTGAAACTATTCCAATCAATAGAAAAAGAGGGAATCCTCCCTAACTCATTTTATGAGGCCAGCATCATCCTCATACCAAAGCCTGGCAGAGACACAACCAAAAAAGAGAATTTTAGACCAATGTCCTTGATGAACATTGATGCAAAAATCCTCAATAAAATACTGGCAAACTGAATCCAGCAGCACATCAAAAAGCTTATCCACCATGATCAAGTGGACTTCATCCCTGGGATGCAAGGCTGGTTCAACATACGCAAATCAATAAATGTAATCCAACATATAAACAGAACCAAAGACAAAAACCACATGATTATCTCAATAGATGCAGAAAAGGCCTTTGACAAAATTCAACAATGCTTCAAGCTAAAAACTCTCAATAAATTAGGTATTGATGGGACGTATCTCAAAATAATAAGAGCTATCTATGACAAACCCACAGCCAATATCATACTGAATGGGCAAAAACTGGAAGCATTCCCTTTGAAAACTGGCACAAGACAGGGATGCCCTCTCTCACCACTCCTATTCAACATAGTGTTGGAAGTTCTGGCCAGGGCAATCAGGCAGGAGAAGGAAATAAAGGGTACTCAATTAGGAAAAGAGGAAGCCAAATTGTCCCTGTTTGCAGATGACATGATTGTATATTTAGAAAACCCCATCATCTCAGCCCAAAATCTCCTCAAGCTGATAAGCAACTTCAGCAAAGTCTCAGGATACAAAATCAATGTACAAAAATCACAAGCATTCTTACACACCAATAATGGACAAACAGAGAGCCAAATCATGAGTGAACTCCCATTCACAATTGCTTCAAAGAGAATAAAATACTTAGGAATCCAACTTACAAGGGACATGAAGCACCTCTTCAAGGAGAACTACAAACCACTGCTCAATGAAATAAAAGAGGATACAAACAAATGGAAGAACATTCCATGCTCATGGGTAGGAAGAATCAATATCATGAAAATGGCCATACCGCCCAAGGTAATTTACAGATTCAATGCCATCCCTATCAAGCTACCAATGACTTTCTTCACAGAATTGGAAAAAACTACTTTAAAGTTCATATGGAACCAAAAAAGAGCCTGCATCGGCAAGTCAATCCTAAGCCAAAAGAACAAAGCTGGAGGCATCACGCTACCTGACTTCAAATTATACTACAAGGCTACAGTAACCCAAACAGCATGGTAGTGGTACCAAAACAGAGATATAGACCAATGGAACAGAACAGAGCCCTCAGAAATAACGCCGCATATCTACAACTATCTGATCTTTAACAAACCTGAGAAAAACAAGCAATGGGGAAAGGATTCCCTATTTAATAAATGGTGCTGGGAAAACGGGCTAGCCATATGCAGAAAGCTGAAACTGGATCCCTTCCTTATACCTTATATAAAAATTAATTCAAGATGGATTAAAGACTTAAATGTTAGACCTAAAACCATAAAAACCCTAGAAGAAAACCTAGGCAATACCATTCAGGACATAGGCATGGGCAAGGACTTCATGTCTAAAACACCAAAAGCAATGGCAACAAAAGACAAAATTGACAAATGGGATCTAATTAAACTAAAGAGCTTCTGCACAGCAAAAGAAACTACCATCAGAGTGAACAGGCAACCTACAGAATGGGAGAAAATTTTTGCAACCTACTCATCTGACAAAGGGCTAATATCCAGAATCTACAATGAACTCCAACAAATTTACAAGAAAAAAACAAACAACCCCATCCAAAAGTGAGCAAAGGATATGAACAGATACTTCTCAAAAGAAGACATTTATGCAGCCAAAAACACACATGAAAAAATGCTCATCATCACTGGCCATCAGAGAAATGCAAATCAAAACCTCAATGAGATACCATCTCACATCAGTTAGAATGGCGATCATTAAAAAGTCAGGAAACAACAGGTGCTGGAGAGGATGTGGAGAAATAGGAACACTTTTACACTGTTGGTGGGACTGTAAACTAGTTCAACCACTGTGGAAGTCAGTGCGGCGATTCCTCAGGGATCTAGAACTAGAAATACCATTTGACCCAGCTATCCCATTACTGGGTATATACCCAAAGGACTATAAATCATGCTGCTATAAAGACACATACACATGTATGTTTATAGCAGCACTATTCAGAATAGCAAAGACTTGGAACCAACCTAAATGTCCAACAATGATAGACTGGATTGAGAAAATGTGGCACATATACACCATGGAATACTATGCAGCCACAACAAATGATGAGTTCATGTTCTTTGTAGGGACATGGATGAAATTGGAAACCATCATTCTCAGCAAACTATGGCAAGGACAAAAAACCAAACACTGCATGTTCTCACTCATAGGTGGGAATTGAACAATGAGAACACATGGACACAGGAAGGGGAACATCACACACTGGGGACTGTTGTGGGGTTGGGGGAGGGGGGAGGGATAGCATTAGGAGATATACCTAATGCTAAATGACGAGTTAATGGGTGCAGCACACCAACATGGCACATGTACACATATGTAACAAACGTGCACGTTGTGCACAGGTACCCTAAAACTTAAAGTATAATAATAATAAAATTTAAAAAACACACATAGAATTGTATACCAAAACATTACTTTAATGGTATTTTAATTAAAAAAATTTTTGAACAGGGTTTAAAATGACAAAAACTTGACTTGAGTGGCAAAAAACATTCCTATTATTATTTAGTTTGCTTAGAATGTTTTGCTATTAAAAACAACCGTTAAACTAATATTAATGAATGTATTTAATAAAAATTACAGCAGTTAAAAGTGTTATAGTTCCCTTTTTAACAGAGGTTTTCTTTGAAAATATATTGATATTAAGATAAGGGATGCAAAGCTCAATATAATTCAATAAACATTTTTTGAGTATCTACAGAAATGCAACAAATGATATTTGTAATATTTATGAGTTAAAGATAATTATGAGACAGAAGTAACCATTAGATAGTACTAGGTAATAAAAGAGATACTAGTTACCATAGTGGTTATAATAGCTATTAATTAATAGAGCAAGTATAAGTATAATGTCCCTCAAATAGTTAGTTTAAAATTTTCTGTTAATCATTCAATGAAGACATAGATTGTAAAGAGAATCTGTACCTACCTGAGGATATGCCATTATGTAGAAATTCCAGGAGACAGGGCTAGCAGAGGAATTTCTATGGACCTGCTTATCCAAGTTTTCCTAACACAGAGACATCTACAGAGTTGAAAATAACAAGACATCAACTTACAAGACACGTTTGAGCCCCAAACTCTTAAAATATTGGGACTTTCCATAAGAATTCAACATGTACTTTGTATCTCTAATATAACTTACTCTCTGTAAACACCCAATATATATTTATTAAATTAATAGACTGCAACAAGAATAAATCTAAGTAAACAATACAAATCCAATTTGTAAAGGAAAGCGAGGGCCAAATGTGCAGAGAGACAGAATGTCAATATGGTGGCTGACATTCTAAATGCAAAAGAAACTTCCACAACATTCCTAGATTGCACATAGAAGAGAAATGGAAATGATACTTCTTCAGGATAGTTCACTGAAACTACAACCAATCCTACCTGCTCTTATCTGAACTTCTGACAAATACAAGACAATAATGAGTATACTCATCAACCTATGGCAGCTATGAGTTGAATATATAGTGGGTTGTGTGTGTTTATGTGCATGTGTGTGTATTGTGTGTGTGCAGTTGAATTTTTTATTAGTTACACATTAAAAATCAAATGTTTGACTCAGAGATGTACAGAGCTTGAAAGAACCTCACTTCATTATTGTGTGTGATAATCCACTGCCAGACAGACTGCAAGTTTATCACTTTCCTTAAACCCATCAGAAAACTGAAGTTGCAGGAAAACCCAGTAGCCCAAAATCTAAGGAATGAGAAGTGTCTGCAGGGAGACATAAGACATCTTGCTGACCTGGGGCAGACACAGACACTGGTAGAAAGAATCTAGCCAGAATAGTTAACACATTGGTAGAGGCTGCATGTGGGCTGGTAGGAGAATGTAGAGCCCCTGGGAGTTTCAGGTACAGGAGAGTTTGCACCCTCTTGCAAGCTCTTCTCCAGGAGCCCCACCAGGAACACACTGAGAAAGCAGAATAGCAGCCTCTGCCGAAAGGAGCAAGAACCCCCCACCAGGACCTTCTCCTTTATCTCTTCCGAGGAACAAAAGCTTTCACCTAAGAGGAGGGTAGTCAGCACTGCCACCCTTAGGACTCTGGGGAAAACCCATTGCAGCTGAGGAACAGAAAACACTCTCTACTCCTAGTTTGTTTATCCAGGACTGACATGAGACTTTCAGAGCTAATACTGGAAAAGTCCCTGACAAGCTGGGAGGAGTTGGTCACCCCACCCTGGGTGAGGCACTAGAATATCTACAGGACCGTAACTACAGCTGAGGGAGAGAGAGTACTGAGAAGACCACACCCCTTGTTAAGATGGGAGCTTGGCTTTGCTGGTCTGTCTTTATCTCTCATTCAAGTTTATGAAGGCCTGTTCTCAGCAGGCTGATCTTCTCATGGACATCTCGTGTTAGGCAAAGAGTTCTTAGATGTGAAAAAAACACATCATCCATACAATTTTTGAAAAGTCATAAATTTATTTTTTATCAAAATTTAAAACTTTTGCTCTGCAAATGATACTACTGAGAGAATGAAAAGACATGCTATAGGTTGGGAGAAAATATTAGCAAATCATGTGTCCCTCCAAAAAAAGACTTGTATATAGAACACACAAGGAACTCTCAACATTGAACAATAAGGAAACAATGCAATTTTCAAAATGAACAAAATATCTGAAGCAACATTTTTACCAGGGGAAATATACAGATGGACAAATAGATAACTATATAAAAAGATATTCCACTATTATTAGCCATTTATGGAAATGCAAATTGTAATTAGAATACTCCCATTGTTTGTTCATTCATCTAATTTATTAGAAAGAATTTAAGAAGAACCTAATATATATCACTTCTTATAAAAGGTTCTGAGAAAGAAAAATATCAATGCCATTGCAATTTGATAATATTTATTAGAGGTAATAGTTGAGGTAACAATGGGGTGTCTTTAAGAACTGGGAAATATGGTTTTCCTCTGAGAACTAAATTTTGATTCAGCATTAAATGCATTCAGGTTAAAAAGAGAAGTTACCACCGCAAGAATGGCTGCAAGGCTTCCAAGGCAGCCTGTGCCCTGATCACAATATTCACATACAAGAAGAAGACTGAAAATCAGACTGCCAATCATCAAAAATCAAAATACTTCCAGGTGGTTGATAAGTAGTCATGATACCCAAACCCCCAGCACTGCTTCCCTCTCCCAGACACTCTGGAACTCCCCGCAATCCAGCAGTTGGCAGAACAGGGAGCCTCCAGCAGTGCCCCCTCCTGCTGGCATTCTGCTTGACTGGAGCCCATGACGTATGGGTTATTATACATTTAGAATATCCTCCCTGAATCATCCACTCAAGTAGTTTAATCATTTATGTATCCTCAGAAAAGGCAGCATCTAAGAGGCACAGTGTGCCCAATAGAACATTTTCTAGGGTAGAGGGTACACTGCTATGCCCCCCATCATACACAAAAGGAGGCTGCAGACTTTGGGACCTTAAGATCTTTTAACAGTTAAATCCCATAGCATCTCCTGTTCTGATTTCAGGCTCACCAAGCTGGGTGGGCAGACACTGGCATGCACTAGGCTTACTAGTTACAGTTGCCATTGTGAATTAAGATTGGCATTCTGGTTTTACAGGGTAGTCTCTTGAGAGCTCAGCCCCAGAGCAGGTTAGTGTGAGTGAGCATCCTCAAGTCCGAAGGCAGCCTCTCTACCCTGCTCAATTCTCCGTGGGGAATGCCACCCAGTTAGAGGTGGGAGGAGCCAGCCAGTCTCTCCAATTAACCCACTCTGCTTATACATGCTTATCCTTGGGAATGTCTACTATCATCAGTAGTTATTGAACGTTAGTTTTCTACATTAATGCATCATGTCATTGTCTTTAAGCAGCGATGAAGCTTGTAACAGTTGTTTCTATCTTGTCTAAAGCTCATTTTAACATCAAGAAGCAATCCCTTACCTGCAGGGCTGGGACTAGAGTGAAGTGAGTAAGATGGTTAGGGTGCAAAATTTAAGGAGGCATTCACTCTCAGGGTCCTGCTAGTGCCCTGAGCCTATTTTAGGTCAGCGTTGTTGTGTCACCTGTATCTCCAGCTCCAGTGAAGAAGGGAAGAAAGTCACTGGTGATGAAATCAGCTGAGCTTATGGAAGGTAAGCAGGAGAACCAAGTTCTTGACCTTTCTCTTTTCTCCTTTTTGTCACTAACATTCTTGAAAAAATAATATGTTCTATACCAGCAGACTCTTCCTCCTTTTCCTATTCAAATTTTTTATCTATTTTCACCATTTTACAGAAATTGCTCTCACTAAGGTCACAATATGCAAAATTTGATGGCCTCATTTTAGCTTTTTTCTAAATGGTATCTCCTCAGCTTTTGACATTGACCTTGGGAAAAGGTTTGTGTCTCGTTCACCATATTTTTATCAGCATCTATCACAGATCACAGCGATTGGCTCCTAGAAAGCACTAAGTACATTTTTATTGAAAAAATAAATAACTTATTTTATTGACAAAGGAAAGAAAATCATTCCTCTTTTGTTGTGTTCTTACAGCATTTTGTTCATGGGATCTTGTGCTGTCATTCATATTTACTCATCTGTGTTCCCAAGGATTGAGAGCAACAACTGTGTGTTGTAGTTCTTTGTATCCCAGCCTAACAAAGGGCCTGACATATAACAGGTGCTCGATAAAAGTTTGTGGAATAAATACAATTGGTGACTAATGACACAATTATGATGTTCTAGTTACTCCAATGATTTGTGATAAATCATTTCAAAATACAGTGGCTGATATGCTTGGGCTGTGTCTCCACCCAAATCTCATCTTGAATTGTAGCTCCCACAATTCCCACATGTTGTGCGAGGGATCTGGTGGGAGATAATTGAATTAGGGAGTGGTTTCCCCATACTGTTCTCATGGTAGTGAATAAGTCTCACGAGATCTGATGGTTTTATAAGGGGTTTGCCCTTTCACTTAGCTCTCATTCTCTCGTCTGCTGCCATGTAAGATGTGCCTTTTGCCTTCCACCATGATTGTGAAGTCTCACCAGCCACGTGGAACTGTGAGTCCACTAAACCTCTTTTTCTTTATAAATTACCCAGTCTCAGGTATGTCTTTATCAGCAGCATGAAAATGGACTAATATAGTGGGTTAAAACAATAATCATTTATTTTCTCTCACTTTTTCTGTTGGTCAGGAATCTAGGAAGAGCTAGGCTGGATAGCTCACACTGCTTAAGTGATGGAAGGGAGGGGCCACTGATGTGGTTGCAGGCAGATGTCAGTTAGAACTGCAGGAATCTGAAGGCTTGACTGGGGCTGCAGGGAGGATCCTCTTCCAAAGTGGCTTACTCTCACTGTCAGCAAGTTAGTGCTGTCTGTTGGCAGGGGAGCTCTGTCCCTCTCCTTGTGAGCCTCTCCACAGGCCTGCTTGAGTGTCCTCATGACATGGCAACTGGCTTCCCCTAGAGTAAGCAATCCCAAGGTGGAAGCTGTGATGCCTTTTATGACCTAGCCTTAGAAGTTACATGCCGTTACATCTGCCACATTTTACTGGTCACATAGGACACGCATTCAGTATGGGAGGGGACTGAATATCAGGAAGTGAAGATCATTAGGGCTGACTTGGAAACTGGGTACAACAGATGATTGGCCATGAAAGAAAAGTTTTGAATTAAGGCAAATCTATTCTCCAGGCACACTTCTAAAGGTAATTGTAAGCTATGAAGCCTGGAAGAAACAATTGTTGCTTGATAGGATGTCCCCTATCTTTGAAGAGATGGGCATCTGGATTAATTGTATTTCTCCCTGACACCTATAGCCATACCTCAGTTCTCTCCTAATGAAGTTGCTGACAGTCTATAAGGAATTAGTCTTTACCCATCCCCAAAACAGCACACCCATCTCATGGAAGGCCAGACCAGAGTCTGGGGTTGGTTTAGGCTTAAGCAGCCTGGACTTTTCTTTGGGCAGGAACATGATTTGGTTCCTCTGGTGCACTGAGACTGCAATTAGGTTTTAGGATAAAGTGCCAAATGCATCTACCGGTATCCCCTGTGGTATGTCCCAAGACCCAGTGACAGCAGGACTTCTGGTTGTGATGTATCCTCAGAATCATCTGCACTCAGAGGAGCCTGGAGGAAACCCATCCCTGCCAACTGCCCTTGGGGTCCTTTTATAAGATAAAGAGAAGGCAGAAACTCCAAGGAAGGCTGCAGGAAACCCATTAAGAATCACATATTCCTTGGCTACAGATTTAATGACAAGTGCCCTTCTGAGCCAGGGGAGAGTCCAGTGTGTTTACTCATCCATTTTTTATTCCGTTACTTGTAATGCTTCAGAACAGATAAATTTCAAGGATCAAGAATAAAAATTAAATAAAATAGGAATACATACTCAATATAATAATTGGGAAAAAAAGATTGTGGAATACATATCTATTTTTATTCAGGGAAAATAAGCAATAATTTTGGAGGGTAGGGGCAAAATTTCTTCTTTCTTTTCTTTTTTGAAGTCAAATATGTTATATCTCATAGTATTTATACTATTTTTTATATCAAAATATGGTCTAAATGCTGCTGAATTATCCAAATAAGAACTCTAAACATTGTATTTGAACACGTCATTATTTTTAAAATTTAAATATGGCCCTATTTTTAGTCTACAGGCTGAATTTATGCAAATGATGATTAACTGAATTCTTATATTAATTTCAACTTAGCTCCACTGATATGTTATTATGCACTAATTCAACACTCATACATTCTATGGACCTTTTACCTTTGCTTTATTAACAACTTTAGTGCGATTGGTAAAAAAAAGTCTTTAAGCTGTGAAAATACTCAGTATCAGTTATGAGTTTAGAGTTGGCCTTTGAATTGTAAACTATTTCTTAGGAATAAATTAGTTCTGTAAAGTTAAACATTCTCTTTCAGCAAACCATAATGCATGAATTCTAGAATGTACAAGTTTTTACATTTAAATATCTCTGAAATAAGATGCATTTGAGAATAAATGATTCTTAGGTTCCATGAAATGCAATACGTTATTGCTTTGGTGTATTAGCAATGCTCCAGTGGCCTGGAAAAGGCTGCAAAGGCACCTGACACATGCAGCCAGGTCCGTCATCTACTTCCTATCTGTTACTTTACCAAGAAATAATAAAACCAACAAAAAGAACTACCAGAAATAATGAAAACAGGGTTGCTTTTGATGAAAGAGGCTAAAGATTGGTTTTTGAAAAATGAACCAATATCCAAAAACCTTAAATCAAATGCCCTGGCCTGCTTTGTCCCTTACACACCTCACGCACCTGTTCTCTGGCCACTCTGGCCGTAGGGGCTAATCTTGTTCTTGCCTGGGGCCTTTGTCCATGCCAATATCTTTGCCAGGAATGTTCTTCTCTCTGCTCTTTGTCAGGCTAATTTCTCTCCTGTCTTTCATTTCTTCCCTTATATGTCACCTCCCCAGAGAAATTCTCTGACTCCCAGAGTAAAGCCAAAACCCCATGATCTCACTTTGCCTGCATTATACTTACAATTTGTAATTATTATTATTTTTGAATGTATTAATTGCTGTCTTCCTTAATATATTCCTGACCCTAGGTCAGGAGCTCTCCCTAGGGCAAGGTGGCTTCCCATGATGGATGCTGATGAAAAAAATTAAGTGAGAATAACAAAAATGAATGAACGAACAAACAAATAAACAACCCCAGCAGTACACACACAACATATCCTGCTATTTTTTGATACATTTGATATATAAGATTTGGAAGACCACACGGGTTCAGAAGAGTCTTGGCAGCAGTTTAGGTGCCAGTGAGGGAATTCAATTCATTTGTTACCAATATTTGATAGTAAAATATTTGACCCTTTATATCTATAATAAAAAATGCAGGCTGGGCGCGGTGGCTCACACCTGTAATCCCAGCACTTTGGGAGGCCGAACTGTGTGGATCACCTGAGGTCAGGGTTTCAAGACCAGCCTGGCCAACATGGCAAAACCCCGTCTCTGCTAAAAATACAAAAATTAGCCAGGCATGGTGGCGCATGCCTGTAGTCTCAGATACTTGGGAGGCTGAGGCAGGAGAATCACTTGAACCCAGGAGGCGGAGGTTGCAGTGAGCTGAGATTGAGCCATTGCACTCCAGCCTGGGTGACAGAGCGAGACTCCATCTCAAAAGAAAAAAAAATGCAGAAATCTCTTTGCTACTACAAGTTCAGTTTAGTTGAAATTAGACGTATGTGTGTTTATTTCTGTATCCCATTTAAAACAACCTTGAAAGCTTTGTTTTTGGTATACAGGAATTGCTTTAATTGCTGGTCATTTCTTTGAGAAGAATAAGAAGAAAGAATATTAAGGAAGAGGTAATGGACAGCAGAGATATTTTTGCAACAAGCCTTAGAAAGATAAAAGAAACATGCAGAAAAACACTGAATTGCACAATTGCATTGTCCAAAAAGAAAGAAAGATTTTTGTAAGAGGGGCTATGGTGATGTTAGTGGTTGGCAAGGATACAGGAGAAGATATCTCAGAATCATACAAAAAGTATAGAATATTTGCAGGGAGGAAGGAGGAAAAAATATTTTGTTTTCATAAATTATAACCTATTATAAACTCCTACCTTAAGGAAGGAAGATCCTGGGAAATTTCCAGCAAGTCTTGTCTGGTCAGGAACTCTATGTGAGGTTGTACATGCTGTGTCCTGCATGAAGAGTTCAGTTAAGGTGGTGGGAGGGAACTCCAGTTCAGGCCCTGCTCACTAAGCCCTGGAGCAAAGGTGTCTTATTCTCAAGAACACAAAGTTCTCATGGGTGCTAGCAGAGGCCCTTGGCTACAGTCAATGGAAAATAATATTACAGCATGTTACTACTAATTTCAGATGTTTCTTTAGAGAGCCATCTTTATTATTTTTAATTTTTAAAATAATACTATTTTTTTTTCCTCCAAAGATTTCAGGTTCCTGTGAGGTACTGAGGAGTTAACTCCTGAGGTTGGGGAAAATGGCCCTTGATCTGCCCTTTCCTTTTATTTGAAAGACTCTCAAATTATGTAATAATAAACCTTTGTTAATGTCCCTAAAACAGGATTGACTATAAAAGACAATTCAAGATATGCCAGATACATTTGGGTTTCATCCAAAAAAGTTTAGTTCCTGAAGCACCAGTTTCTTTGTCCTTTGTAAAATGGCCTCACCCTTAAAGGATTTCATAACGAAGTTGAAAACAGAGTTATATTGAAGCATGGCTATAGCATCTGCTTAATTTAGAGCAGATTCTATTTACAGGGAGTCAGAAACTATATTATAGTCCATTGTGATAATAGTTTCTCCTTGTTCCATACATGTGTATATTACTGTTGAATTATATGTTCTTTAAAGACATATTGAATGAATCATCATTACAGCTAACATATATTGATAAATTAATAGATGCCTGGCACTGAGCTAAGTGATGATTTTTATATGAAGCAAAGGTACCCTTCTTTACTGTTGATGCAGGAATGTTAAATACTCTGCAAGGCAGGGATAATGAAAAAAGTTTAGGTATTCGAGAAGGATAATTCCTGTGTATAGAAGCTTGGGATGACAGAACTTCAGCATTAACTTGTAAAAATAACACATAGATTGGGCACAATGTGGTCGTGCTTATTGCTCTAAACTTAAAATTGATTAAATATTATATAAGGTTGGTGTTACGCTTCATGTAAAATTATGTTCTTTAGAAAATATATTGCAAAATCTGGCATATCATCTATGGTCCTATAAAAATTGACACATTTTTCAAAAGGTGGTGTAAAAGGGAAGGATTTAATTGCAGTAGTTACTTAAATGTTTATATGCACAAACACAGATACTTCTCACCATTCCATCATCTACTGATGTATAACAAACTACTACAAAATTTAGTGACCTAAAGCAACAGCCATTTTATTGCATTTCACTCTTCTGTGGGTCAGAAATCTGAGCAGGGCTTTGCTGGGTAGTCCCTTTATTCCAAGTAGGGTCGATGGAGGTCACTGAAAGGTATTCAGATGGTGGATGGGTTGGTCTGGAGGATTCAATAAAAAAAAAAAAACAAAAACGTGGAATCCAGCAGGGGATACTGGAAGGTAGGCCTCAGCTGGTACCATGACCAGAGGATGACCAGAGGCCACACACAAGTGGCCTTTCTAGGAGTATGGCAGTCTCAAGCTAGCTGAACTTTTTACATGGCAGCATGGGGCTAACAGAGAGAATATTCCAAGAGACCCAGTGGAAAATGCAAGGTTCCTTATGGCTTAACTTAGAAAATCCTGGACTATCACTTCTTTCATATTCTATAGTTAAGCAAGTCACTGAGGCCAGCTCCTTCAAGAGTAAGGAATAAGACTACTTCTCAATGGGAAGAGAGCAAAGAACATGTGGCCAACTTTAATCTACATACACCTAAACCAACAGATGGAGCGCCTGGGACACAACAACTATCCTTAGACTTTCCACATCAACAATCTCGGAACACTTAAGGCTGGATGGACAATATCTACTTCTGCAATGTGTTCCGGTCTTCTACCAACGGAAAATCGAATTCCCAGCTTTGAGCAGTTGGATTCCTGTGGTATGTGGCTGCCCCACATCTTCTTCTGCTAAGCCATTATAATCAAAAAGTATTTTTTTTGGCGGGGGGTGGGGGCAATGGAGTCTCACTCTGTCGCCCAGGCTGGAGTGCAGTGGCCTGATCTCAGCTCACTGCAACCTCCACCTCCCGCGTTCAAGTGATTCTCGTGCCTCAGCCTCCCAAGTAGCTGGGATTACAGGCGCCCGCCACCAAGCCAGGCTAATTTTTATATTTTTTTGTGGAGATGAGGTTTCGTCATGTTGGCCAGGCTGGTCTTGAACATCTGACCTCAGGTGATCTGCCCGCCTCGGCCTCCCAAAGTTCTGGGATTACAGGCGTGAGCCACCGCACCCGGCCCCAAAAGTCTTTTTGTGCACCCCGTGTCTATTTCTTATTAGTTTCAGAGCTTTTCCCAGTCATAGGATCACAGAAGGTCAGAGCTGGAAGGGCTCCCAGAGATCTGGTTTCATTTTACAAATGAGGAAGTTTAGGTTCATGTGACCTACTTAAAGTCAGAAACTGATTAGTGACAGAGCTACAGCCTAGATGTCTTGTTGCAGTGCATGAAGAGCTTAGGTAATCCTGATTTATCCATGGAATAGGCAGCTGGTTTACCTGATTCTTCCCTTAGAAACAGTCCATCTAACATGATTTGGCTTCCTACTTCATCATGAAACATTTGAAAAGAAACTATTCATTCCAAGTTCAACAGTTTAATCTTCAAATATCTAGCTCATCTTTCTTAGTCCATATTTAACAAATGTTTACTGAGCATCCACCAAGTTGACAGCACTGTAAATACAGACACACTTTCAGACGGGGGCTGCCTGCAAAGAGGCTTCCCTTCTAGTTAGAAAGCCAGAAGACACATTTTACAACAGTCACTTTTCTCTGGGTCACATATTTGATAATACTACCTTATCTTTACGTACTTCTATAGGCTTATGCCTGTAATCCCAGCTATTGGGAGGCTGAGGCAGGAGAATTGCTTGAAACCAGGAGGCGGAGGTTGCAGTGAGCCGAGATCGCGCCTCTGCACTGCAGCCTGGGCAACAGAGGGAGACTCTGTCTCAAAAAGAAAGAAAAGAAAGAACAGAACAACAGAACAGAACAGAACAGAACAGAACAGAACAGAACAGAACAGAACAGAACAGAACAGAAAAAAGAAAGAACTTCCCTAACACAGTTCTCCCTCCTCCTTTCATTTGCAGAACAGACCACAGGGCCGAGGCTTCTTCCATTAGAAACAGCCCATCTGTTCTACTGATTCTGAGATTTTTGCCTACACGGAGCACCAATTTGTAGTGGGTGTAAGGTTACCCGCAAATCAATGTGATGGTCCAGTTGTTACTGTTCCTTTTGTTTCACGAGCGATTGCTCATTAGATGAGGTGACTGATAGCTCTGACTTTTTCTAGACCACAAGGACTCTAGGTGGCTGCCCTAAGTACAGTTGTGGCAGCTGGGATTTCCTGTTTATATGGTGCCCGGCACCATCAGCTTTTGTCCTCTGCTGCAGCTAAAGTGTCTTCCTCCTGGACCAGGGAGAGGGGGAGGGGGTGTGGACAGGACCCGCCTGCTGACGGTGACACCTCTTCGACACCACGTCCACGCCAGTCCTCAGCTCCAGGAGCTGGGCGGGATCCCTCATCCCGCTCAGCTGGGAGATGCCCCGGGAGGGCGTCCCCCGGCTCCGGGCGGCGAGGGTAGTAGCCGACCCCAATCCACTCCGGGGGCCGCCGGGGGCCGCGTGAAGGCAGGTGTTCCGGGGAGAAACGTGGAAGGGAGGCGCGGCCTGGGGCCGGTGGCGCTCGGCTGGGGGCCGCAGTTGGCTCCCCTGGGGGCTCTGGGCGGCGGCAGCTCCCGCCTGTGGGGAGGAGAAGGAGCCGGATGGGCGGGTTCAGGCGCGCGCGGCGGCGGTCCCGGGGCCGCCGGCTCCTCCCCGCGAGGGTGCCTGTCCGCCGCTCGCCGCGCTGAGGCAGTGCGGGGCGGGCGCGCCTAGGCTGCCGCCCAGCGCCCTCGCCGCGGCCATGCCCGGGCCCTAGAGCGCCTGCCGCAGCTTGCGCCCCGCAGCCCCGCAGCCCCGCGCCCGCCGCCGCCTCTTCAATGGGCAACCTGCTCGGCGGGGTCAGCTTCCGCGAGCCCACCACCGTGGAGGACTGCGACTCCACCTGGCAGACCGACTCGGAGCCCGAGCCCGAAGAACCAGGGCCGGGCGGCGGCAGCGAGGGCCCGGGGCAGGAGTCCGAGCAGCCCGCGCAGCCCCCGGAGCAAGCCGGCGGGCGGCCCGGCGCCAGCCCCGCGCCGGACGAGGACGCCGAGGCGGCGGGCGCCGAGCAGGTACGCGGCCCAGCGGTGGCCTCGGGTCGGGCTGGGGCGCCCCGACACCCCAGAGGGGCAAGTGCCAAGCCGCCCTCGCGCTCGGAGGCCAGGGGCGCCAGGTGGCTGCTCGCCGCTGCGACCCGACCCCTCCGCGCCGCGGCTGACCTGTCTCCCGGTGGAGCCCGGGGGCCTGCAGGAGCCCAAAGCGCCGGACCCTCCCACTGCCGGCCTGGGGCCTGGCCGAGGGCACGGCGAGGAAGTCCCTCAAGGCAGAACCCAACTTGAATGGGTGTTTTCTTTGCCTCTGCAGAGCAGCTGGATTATGCGAAGGTGGGGTGGGAGGAACCTGTCTAAAAATAGAGGATTTTGACAACCCCTCTAGTGTGTGTTATTGGTAAAAAAAAAAAAAAAAAAAAAAAAAAAAAAAATTACTCAGAATAAGGTGGGGCTACAAGTGCAAGCAGCCAGCGCTCTCCCCTACAGTGGGGTCTAAGCCGTCAGAAGTGTAGGCCCTCATCTGAAGTTCATACGTCACTGTTCTGCCCAACTCAGGCCTTTCAACCTAGGATTCAGGGCATTCTTCACGAATCTTATTTCACCAGAAGACTTGTTGATCCAACTGTGTTTGAACTGTTTGACTAATACAGCTTGGAGGAGAGGTTAGTCAAGAGATAAGCCCCTTAACCTCTGATGGACTGAAAATAATCAGGAACTTTAAAAAGGAGGAAATATGTAGCCGACCCCCTGAAGAAGTGTGCATCCTGGAGGTGGTTCAGGTTTGCCGCTCCACATTAGGCCCTTCTCTTTATCAGCTAGGGGCGATGGAGATTGGGAAAATGGAGCCCAAAGTCCAATGTGACCACAGGGTTTTGGGGGAATCATAACCTAAATATTACAGCTAACACCGCCTCAGCCATCTTGATGATCAATTCTATTTAGGTAAGGAGGAAATCATAAAGTCTTAGTGCAGGCTCTGTGTTAAACGTGTTATTTAAATGAACTACAATTTTGGGGTGGGTGTTTGCTGTGTGGTCTCCATTTTAGAGAAAACTGAGGCTTAGAGAGAAAGGAAAACTTGCCCAAGATCACTGAGGGAGAGGATGATGCAAACCCAAGTCTATCTATCACTGATATCAGCGCCTTGGACCTGTGGAATTCTGAATTTCCATCTGCCCCTGTGTCTGGTTTGCCGCTGTTGTTTTGCATTGCTAATTCAATCTTATTAAATTATTAGATGCTGCATTCTCATGTTTTTCCCTTACGTTTGTCTCCCAATTAAGTAACCTCCTACAGAAATTTGGAATATCAAAAAACACCAGCTAAGATTCAATCCAACTAACCAGGTCCATCTATATAAAACATTTTAATAATGTTCAGTCAGTTAACTGCAACCCCAGTAACTAGTAGACTACACCAGCCCTCCCTATTCCCTTTTAATGATTAATTTTTCTTGTTAGTATCACCATCTGACTTCCCCAAAAAATCTGCTTTTCAATTTTGCCTTTTGACTGCCAACCCTATTTGTTGTCTATTCCTCAGAGTCAATCCACTTGCAGGTAATACTGGAGCTACTTTTAAAGCGTATCCCAGACTGACTCCTTCACACCACTTCCATTGCATCATCCTAGTCCCTCTGAATACTGAACAAATGATGGTGACATTAACCAAGACAGGGAAGTCTAGGGAGAATGCAGCTATGGAGGTTAAATCAACGATTCTCTTGAGTTTGATATCCTATTACACATCCAAGTAGAGTTGTTGGGTAGTTAATCATTTGTTGGGTAGTTAAATTACATCTATGAATGGAGACAGTCCAGGACTAGAGTCCTCAGCATCTGAGATCAATGGTATTTAAAGGCATGGGAAGATAAGGGGTTATCAAGGAGTGATGACGACTGAGGACCTTAGGCACCCCTCCATTTAGAGGGTATGAAGAGGAGGAGGAGCCAAAAAAGGAGGCTGACAAGGGGAGCCCAATGAGACAGAAAGTAAACTAAGAAAGTTATAGTAGCCTGTAAGCCAAATACTGACAGTGTTTCAGGAAGGAGGGATGCTTTAATTGGCCCAGTTCTGTTGGGAGGTCACCTGAGGTGAACATTAAGAAATGGTTTGGCAAGATGGAGACTTATTGGTGAAGTTCACAAGAACTATTTTGTTGGAGTGCTGAGGACAAAAGCCTGATTGAGGTGGGTCAGGGGAAAATGGGGAAAGAAAAGAAGGAAACAAAGTATGGGCAATTCTTTGGTGGTGATTTGCTATAAAAAAGGAGTAGATATATGGATCTGTAATTGATGGTAGGCCTGGGTCAAGGAATGTTTTGTATGTTTATTTTAAGATTAAAGATACTACAGCATGTTTGTTTGAGATCGAGAAGAGAGGGAAATTTTGATGATCCAGGAAAGAGGAACAATATTGAACAACAGAATCCTTGTCTGAGCAGGTGAAAGGGGTCTGGGTAGAGAGTCCAAAGGGAATAGGGGTTGGAAGAGCAGGAGCAGATGCTGGCAGGACACAGACATTCTTATGATAATCCTGAGAAATAGGTAGGGCTTGAGTCATTATCTTTATTTCAGAGATGATAAAACTAAGATTCAGCTAAATGATTTGCTTAAGGCCTCACAAATACAAGTAAGCAGCGTTCAGATTGCTAGTCTTCTGACTCCAAGTCTTGGGCTACTGATACTACACCAAGGTTTCCATATATCCTTCATTTTTTAGTGTGACTGAGATTGATTCAGACCTGGACTTGGGACCCAGAGCCTGGGATTCTTGTTCTTGCACTGTCACTGGACTCTGGGTGGTGTGCAACTTCTCTAAGCCCCTGATATCTTGTTTCTAAGATGGAAACACTTATTAACTGTCAATCAGGTGTGTTTTAAGAATCAAATGAAATAATGCCTTTTGACTGTCAACCCTGTTTGTTGTCTATTCGCTATATATGTAAGTGCTTTGTAAATGGAGAGTGCCTTCTATACAAATGTAGGATGATGATTCATATGGTTGTATCTCAGGCTAAATAGATTCAGAAACTTGCTAGGCAGAGCTATTTTGAAACGTGTGGCAAGGACCAGAATTCAAGCTTTTCCTTGCTTATGTAACATGACAGCGTAACTAATGTTAAGCATCAGAAGATTTGATGTTGAAGTAACTCGGTACTTGTAGTAATAGTGAGAATCACACCACTTCAAAAATGTGTGAAAATTACTTAGAGGATGCCAATCTGTCAACACAGATGGAGGACAGGGGTTGAGGAGAAAAGAATTTGGGGCAAAGCTTTTAATGACTCTTAAAGGTCTAAAGTTTTTCTTTTTCATGATTGTCATCAGCACTTTCTCATACATTATAATAGTACATATAGGGAATGCAAATCGATTATTTTAACCCACATCTTATACTTTAAAAATCAGTTCATGGTGATAGGAATTTTACTTAAGAGTTTGAACAGTATGAGTAAACTACCATGTATAAGTTGTTTCAATTGGACACCATTCCATTTAAGAGCATTTTATTGCTTTGTGTGTATATATTTTAAATGTTTATATCACATTGTATTATCATTCAGTGAACAGATGATTATTCATGCCTTTGTGTACTTGTCATGGTATTATAAAGGATGGAGTTTAGAAAGCTAGTTTGTTTTAAAATCCTTTCTTTTCATAAATATTACTTGACTTCCAAGTACAGCTAAATGTTGCAAATTTAATGACAATTTTCTTTGTAGAATTGATTTAGTAACTTAACACATTCTTAGTATTATGTAAAATATTCTAAAATAAGTTTTATCATAGAATCACTTGCATAATCATCTGGTAAATAAATGTCTTGAATTCCTTTTTGAGTTCCATTTTTGATGGATATTGATCCATAACATTGGCCTCTTAGGTTTTTGGTTAATAATAAAGTGTTTTATTCAGTAATATATCTTAGGACAAATGTTATTGGTTCAAATAAGAAAAATAGGATGCTAAGAAATATTGCTAGTAAGCGTTATTAAAGGAATATTTATAATATTTTCATTAATCTGGACAGATTGACAATTTTCAGGCTTTCTTTATGGATCTTCCTTAAGTTTGTTCTGGAAATTTCTTTGTGAAATTATCTTGCGTCAACATGTAAACGGAGTTTCACCTTTTATTTCAGGGTGGTGATTCCACTGAAGCAACTGCCAAACCAAAGAGAAGTTTTTATGCTGCCAGGGATTTGTACAAGTACCGACACCAGTACCCAGTAAGAGTATAGAATGCTATGTTTTAAACTGTAAACTATTTTCCTTCTGTTTTTAAATTTTTATGGTGCCACTGAGAAAACATGCATGAAGGGTCCTTGTATCTTTACTGTATTTCTATGTGCTGGAGATTGATTTATTTTTTCCTTTAGCAGAACTTCAAAGATATCCGATATCAAAATGACTTGAGCAATCTTCGTTTTTATAAGAATAAAATTCCATTCAAGCCAGATGGTGAGTAACGTACTACTTGATAAATTGCACTTTAAATAATCACATACACTTGGTTATTCTTTATTTTGTGGTTTGTTTCATTGATTGGATTTACTTTGCTATGCAGTCTAATGTGTCCCCTTGGTAAATTCTGGAGGAAGAGCTATGGATTAATGGTATCTTTCTTATTTACATTGCTATTATCTGAAAGATAGTAGGGACAATTTTTGTGACAGGAAGAGAGAGGAGATGTATAGAACCATAGAATTTTAGGTTATTAAGGAACAGTAGAGAAGATCAAATTCAGCTTTCTCATCTCAAAGATTAGGTCACTAGGACTTAAAGCTTAGGTCACTCGATTGCAGGTTCTAGAGTCCACTGTTCTTTCCATTGTGCCATAGCTGAAAACTATTTAGCATGTGATTGAAAAGTGCTGTTTGTATTTAGAATTATCTTTCCTGTCAGTTTTCAGATTCAGTATCAGCAATCTACAGCAATCCCTGTTTGGAGTTCCAATATTCTGGGAAGGGAACTGCAGATACAGTAGATCTCCATCCAACTCTGCCAAATACACTTGTCTCCTTCCCAACTCTGCAATTGCCCTCCTAGGATATTTTCCAAACCCATAGTGAGAAGATGCAGCTGCTATGGTAATATGACCACAACATTGCATATTTCATTGAGGCATCATGCTGTGGTTCATGGTGGTCATCCTAATTTTATCCAGGTCACCCTAGGAAAGCTGGCTTCTCTCCCAAGAGCCCTTTTCTGTGTGAGGTGGTCAGACTGCCCTGGCTTCTGCTATTTGCTCTCAGTGGAAACTGAGCCAGTTCCACAGCAGTGTGAGTCACAGAAGGAAGGAGATAGACTGCAAGGCTTTCAAGTGGCAGGACCTTGCATTCTTTGGTGAACTAACTCGAGGCAAGAGGTCTAAAGCCTGGATTGAGTTTGGGAGGAGGGAGTCCCAGTACTGTGTACCAACAGACCTACCAGTTGGGAGTTAATATTTGAGAACATCGTTGACGTGGCCAGATCTACTTGTCTTTAACTTTCTGGTGTCCTGAAAGTCTGCTGTGATGTGGAATGAAACCTCTGGATAAAATTGCACAGTTATATTTACTAATGATAGAAATGTGCTGCTTTATTTACTAATGGAAAAATATTGGCCAAATTATTCATTTTGTTAGGACTTGGGGTAGAAAAATATTTTGAAGAAATGCAATGATAGATTGTTAATTTGAGTCTGATTTGAATTTCATACAATTTTCCTAAAGGAATGCCTTCACATATTAAAAATATTAAACATAAAGCTATGATAGTATTTAACTCTATTTTTTTCTACTAGGGAATTTATTTTGTAAATATTAATTTAAAAAGTAATTTCAAGCAATATATTGAATTTTTGGTAATCTTTACTACAAAGTTTATTTTGAAATCTTATGATTGGTGGGGGTCAGAAGTTTTAGCTAAGGTCAGATAAAATGTTTATCCTAGTTTATTATACAAATTATATCAACTCACTTTCCTCCCTAGTATACACACACACGCACACACGCACACACACACTACTTGCCAGTAAGCATAATCTTGCAATGGTATTTATTTATCAGGCAGGAGGAGTGGTAGTTGGAAAGGAAAACAAATGGAAAATTACAGAGGTAAATGGTTTCAACATGCCAATAAAGCCAACATTATGATTCAAAACAACTTTTTACCAAACCTTCCGAGAGTGGGCCTCTACTACAAACTGGTGATCTCTGGAGGAAACAAGAATGAGATGAGTTATGTTCGGAGAAATATTATATTGCTATTTTATTTTCTACAACATTGACTAAATGGCTAGTCAATTGTAAGGACCTTGACAGACTTAGGAACAGGAGGATTTTGTTTTTGTAAGTTCTTGTAGAGGAAAAGTGGACAGGGTGAAAAGGGCTTACTTCTTGGAACCAGAAAGACCTATGTTGCACTCAAGATTTACTTTTTTACTAGTGTGTAACTTTGAACAAATCTCCCAGTTTCTTCATTGTTAAAATGAGGATCATAACACTGGCAGCATTCTGTGAAGACTAAGCTGGAAAATGTGCGCTCTGTGTAATATGGGCACAGCATGTAGTAAGCACTTACAACTTTTTCCTACATTTTTCTTTTCTCGTTTTCCTTCTCCTTTGTTTTCTCCTTCTCATTTCTTTTCTTCTATTTCTACTCCCCTTTCTTTCTTTTTCCCTAGGATGCAATTCATTTTGATCCAATTTAGCATTTAAAGAACTATATAACTCCTAGGACTGGGATTGGCAAACTTTCTATACAGGGGCAAATAGTAAATATTTTGGGCTTTGGGGGACAGTGGGTCTGTATTGCAACTACACAGCTCTGCTACTGTAGTACAAAAACTGCCATAGACAGTACATAAATGAATGTGCATAGCTATATTCCAATAAAACTTTATTTAAAAAACAGCTGGCAGGCCACAGTTTGCCAAGCTCTGCTTTAGAGTACATTGTCCAACAAAGCCTTGTGCAATTTGAGGTGCTATTAATTTTTTTTAATTAGATTTATCACATAACCGAATATATGGGCATAGGGTATTCATCTTTTTAAAAGCACTATTCTTGTGTGCTATTATTAAATTTAAACAAGTTTTCATATAAAACTCAAGTGATTCGAATCTTAAAATGCCTTCACAATGTTTGAAATGTCTGGTTCATTTTTAAATATTTACTATTTAGGTGTTTACATTGAAGAAGTTCTAAGTAAATGGAAAGGAGATTATGAAAAACTGGAGCACAACCACACTTACATTCAATGGTCAGTTACATATTATCTATCTTGAACCATGTCCTATTTAATCATGTATGTTTTCCAGACAACGTTAATAGAAAAATTTTATTTTTTTAAAATAAATAGGCTTTTCCCCCTGAGAGAACAAGGCTTGAACTTCTATGCCAAAGAACTAACTACATATGAAATTGAGGTAATGCAAGCTCATTTCATTTTATACAGGGTGGCCAAATAATATTGCTATTTCACTGTCCTTGTAGCTACTGAATCATTTCAGGTGACTTTTTTCATTTTTTATATTAGGAATTCAAAAAAACAAAAGAAGCAATTAGAAGATTCCTCCTGGCTTATAAAATGATGCTAGAATTTTTTGGAATAAAACTGACTGATAAAACTGGAAATGTTGCTCGGGCTGTTAACTGGCAGGAAAGATTTCAGCATCTGAATGAGTAAGTAAAGCCCCTGTGATAAATCAGGGGCCAGCACAGTTATTTTCCCTTGGTCAGAGTTCTCTATGAAACGCAGGAACAACTAGCAGATGAGATGGGCCCAGGAATTTGGATTAAAAAGCTAGTCTGAAATGCATTACATTCCTGTACCACATTCTAAAACAAAACAAAACAACAACAAAAAGGAACAAAATTCTAGGTAGAAACACAGCTATTCAGCTTCAGACCTGTTTCTCCCTGAAACCTTCCTATTGCCCACAGCCAAATGTTGCTTCTCTCCCTCCTCCTTATGCCACATTTCTTTGAGTTTATTGTTATTGCTTGTGTACAATTCTGTGTATTCCTTCTTGTAGGCTGTAAGCTTCTTGGGGCACAATCTGTTTCTAAGCATAATGCCTTCTTAAGATTAAATTCATGCATTAAGCCTATGATGTATAAAAATCATTTTATAAGAATGAGATGGGCCCATAGTTTTTACTAAAAGAGAGAGAAAATTACACTTGTCTTCACTATTAAGGTAAAAAACAAAAACTCATTTTTGGGTAATAAGTCCCAAAACTTATGAAGAACATTTTAACATAGTTTATTTGGAATTGTTTTGCTGTATTCATTTGGTTGGATGTTTATAACTTTTGTTAATACTCATAACCAAAGTTTATTTTTCTTGATATTTTCTTCATATTCACTGTCTATTTTCTTTTTAATTATAGTTAAATTTTAACTAATTATAGTTACATTTAAACTAATCATAGTTGAATTATTTATGAATGCTGGCCTATACAGCCACCAGCTTTAAAGTACTTTTAAGCATATTATAATTAGCTAAACTGAGCAAGTACTAAGAGCAAAAAAATTAAAACTAACCTAAGCAATTTTCCTTTGGCCACAGCAGTCTACGTTTTGTGCATCAGTTAACTATTTTTTTATGTGTTTTTATAGAACTTTCACCTTGCTTTGGTAAGATGGGTATAAATATATATATTTTTAATTTTATTATTATTATACTTTAAGTTTTAGGGTACATGTGCACAACGTGCAGGTTAGTTACATATGTATACACGTGCCATGTTGGTGTGCTGCACCTATTTACTCGTCATTTAGCATTAGGTATATCTCCTAATGCTATCCCTCCCCCCTCCCCCCACCCCACAACAGACCCCGGTGTGTGATGTTCCCCTTCCTGTGTCCATGTGTTCTCATTGTTCAATTCAGATGGGTATAAATATTAATGTTATAAGAAGTAAAAAGCCTTCTTTTTACTTTATTACTTATAATCAATGATATTAAAATGGTAGTTTGTACTAAAACGCTAAAGATATGGGCATAAAGCTTTATATTCCTGACTAGAAGATCCATTAACTCATAACTCAAATTTGACTTATGTAGGGCACTTAAAGCATAGGTATATATACCTCTACCTAAGCAATACAGGTAGCTAGCTCTGGACAGAGTTTCTAAACACTTATATTACACTGTGAAAGAGCTACATGCCAGCAGCCTATTGACATGAAAGACAGCAATAGTAACAGTAAATCTTTTGAAAGGATTTGATAGTACCTCATCTTTCATGTACTTAACGACTATCATTTTAGATACCTCAAACTTGTTATTTTTGGTTGGAATAGCAATCTTGCTTAATAAATTTTTATTGAATGAATAAATGATTAACAAAATATGGTCTTCAGCTTAAATCCTCCTTGGAGTTTTGTTATCATATCCTCTGATTTATAGGTGGAAACAGAGTCTCTTTTTAAGGCTTTAATTAAATGATTTCCAGGGTTGAGGCAGGGGAAGGGAGCCTGAACTAAGTCACTTCTCACTCCTCTGCCCCATCCTTTCTTTCTGCCACCTATTGTCAGCATAGAGCTTTTCCAGCTGTGAATTAACTGCCTTAGAATCTGCCAGAAAACACTCTGTTTCTTCTCTAGTTTAGTTGCAAAAAATCTTTACTGACTAGATTTGAACAAATGATAGAGGATTCTATGAAAACGTCTGTTCTATTTTCTTCTTCAATTGGGTCCTTTTCTGACTTATTCTTAAATGTCATAACTTATTTGTATTTTAATGTATATGGCATCTTGAGTAGTTTACAGTAGGCAGGGAACTCAATATATTTATAGTAGCTAAGCAGAGGAAAAATATTGAATCAAAGTAAAATAAAATAACATTGAGTGAACAAGCGACCTTGACTAAAAGAGGCAAAATATTTTCAGACATGAGAGTACAAATATATGGACCAACCACTAAGAGGTGTTTTCAATTTTGTTTGTAATCAACTTGGATTACTGAGCCATATTTAGACCCTGGGGAGCCTTTTAACTTTTATTTTTTGTTTCCTGGTTCTCACCTTGTATGTCTTCTCTCTTTACCTACCTAGACTTCTTGCAATTTCAACACTATTTGCTACCCTTAACCTCTGTCTGGAACCTCAGCTTCTTTCTTTTTCCTATAGTGTAACCCTAAGATGGTTTATACATTATAAGGATTTTTGCCACTCTCTTCTATACCATTTAGTCTTTCACTATGACATTTATTACAAATCATACTGAAACACCCAATTGCTTTATTTTGTAGTTTTGTTCTGGGATACTCATCATCATTTTTTAACCCAAGTCTTTTTCCTTTTATACTGTTGTGTAAATATTTTTAATTGGAGCATATATAGATATAGTAAATGTGTACAGAAATTTTAACTTCAGCATTCATCTAAGATTGGCTATATAAAATTGAGCTGGTTGCAAATATAGTAAATTTTGTTTAGTCATAGAGCTCCTCTTTTTTAAAAAAAGAATTCTTCCACCTTTTTATACATCTTTTTCTCATAGATATATGAGGCAGAATTGCCCAAGGGTTTTGTCAGTAAGTATTTAGAGTATGCAAACTCCATAGGAATGTAACAACTAAGTTGTTCCTGCTGTTAGTGACACATTGTCTTAACTGTACCCAAATTTGTATTGTCTCAAGAGTGTTACTTCCTATTCAAAAATACAGATGTGTAAAACTGAGACATCTGTGCTGCATTTTACCCTCTGGGCTTCACAGTTGAATGTTAAGACAATAATTTTTTAGTAAACATCCAGAAAGATGAAGATGATGAACTGTTGGGCTTAGCTTTTCCAGTGTTTGGTTAGTATGAATCATTAAGGTTTTTGTTTTGTCCAAAGAAACTTTCTCATTGAAACATAAGACCATGGAACCATACTCTGCCATCCCTTAATTCATCAACATCTTTCTCCCTGCTTCCCAAGTAATTTGCTAATTATTTCAAAGTAAAATCTTCAAGCATTTTTGGAAGCTAGGACAGGTATATATAATGTTTGCAGAAAGTTCCATGTCTGAGATATAAAACAGGCTTTAGGAAGTTAGAAATAAGTGATGGTTATTGTTATGTGGCAATATTGGGTAAATAAATACCTGGGCTGTTGACAACACCTATGATTAATACATGTGGCTGATGATTCTTTTGGAATTTGACCAGGCATGTGTAATAAAGCAAAGATTGAGCTGAGTGAGTTTGGGGAGTTACATTATGAATTGTGACAAAATAGATTTGGAAAACATTCATCCAGTAATGGCATTAGTTTTGTGATAGAGAGGAAAGATGTTAGTGTAATCTGGGGGAAAATGTACCCTTGGAATCAAGACCATTAGAAATAAGATTTAAAATTATCAGATAGGGAAAGAGGAGGAAAGAATGACCAGAGATTGAAGAAAATTAGGTTAAGTTGGATAGGTACAAATATGGTGGTCCCTAATCTCGTATCTTTAAATGATAATACTAATAGTTTTAAATAGTATCTAGTACTTATCGAGTTCTATATACCCAGCATGTGTATCATCTCATTTGATTCTTACAACAGTCCTGTAAGTTGTGGGCACTTTTCCCCATTTTACAGATGAGGATATTGAGACATAGAGAAACATAGTTTCACTTAGCTGCTAAGTTACAGAGCCAGGGTGTGAACTCAGGTCTGACTCCAAAGCCCATGCTCTTAACTGTTAAACTAAGCTCTGCTAAATAAGTCAGTTTTGTGTCCTTTGTCAGAACTGTTTTAGCAAAGTAGAGTAGTTTTTGCCGCCATCCTTATGAGTTGGCTTACGTGGTGGATTTTGCTTATCAGCTGGCACTATAAATTGTACCAGTCAGCTGTTAGCTAATGTGTTTATGTTTAGCAATGGTTACCTCTGATGAGTACAGTACATTGATGTTGGTGCAAATAAATGCTCTGTTAGATCATTCATCTTCAGTGTATTTTCAGTAATAAGCAACAATTTGACAGTGGTAATAAATTTAAACCTAAATATTTTTCTAATATGAAGAACTCAACAGACAAGGGAAGTTTATTTTATACATTTGACTTTCACATAGATTGACATTACATTGTGGCCTAAGGATTTAATACCCTCTGGTTTATTCTTAATGGTATCAAATATGGCATTAGGAAGTCATTACACAGCATATTTCCATGGCTTACATTTCCATAAAAAATATTTTCCCAATAGTTTTCATTCTCCTGCCTTCCTACACCTGATTTCCCCCACTCATTTTATTCAATCCTCTCTTCCAGGTCCCAGCACAACTATTTAAGAATCACTCGTATTCTTAAAAGCCTTGGTGAGCTTGGATATGAAAGTTTTAAATCTCCTCTTGTAAAATTTATTCTTCATGAAGCTCTTGTGGAGAATACTATTCCCAATATTAAGCAGAGTGCTCTAGAGTATTTTGTTTATACAATTAGAGACAGAAGAGAAAGGAGAAAGCTCCTGCGGTTCGCCCAGAAACACTACACGCCTTCAGAGAACTTTATCTGGGGACCGCCTCGAAAAGAACAGTCGGAGGGAAGCAAAGCCCAGAAAATGTCTTCCCCTCTCGCCTCCAGTCATAACAGTCAAACTTCTATGCACAAAAAAGCCAAGGACTCCAAAAATTCCTCCTCAGCTGTTCATTTAAATAGCAAAACAGCTGAAGACAAAAAAGTGGCACCAAAAGAGCCTGTGGAAGAGACAGACAGGCCCAGCCCAGAGCCCAGCAATGAAGCTGCCAAGCCAAGAAATACAGAGAAGGACAGTAATGCTGAGAACATGAATTCTCAACCTGAGAAAACAGTTACTACTCCCACAGAAAAAAAGGAGAGTGTATCTCCTGAGAATAACGAAGAAGGTGGAAATGATAACCAAGACAATGAAAATCCTGGAAATACAAATTGCCATGATGTTGTACTAGTACAGTGAATTATCAGAAAACCCAGAAGCCAGTTTAGGCTAGAGAGGAAAAAACTACTGTATCATTTATCCTAAAGAACAGAGATGAGGTCAATTTCAAATTTTAGCCATCTGTTTGTGATTTCTGTCATAAGCATTTTGTTGTTTGTTTTTTTATTTTGGATGACAATGAATTGAATATCTAATAAGGAGATTTAAGATAAGACCCAATAAATGAATGTATTCTGTAATGCTTTTAGGATGTGAATTTTCAAATTTTGTATATAATAATTACTTTGAGAATATTTTCAGAGTATCTAGAAATTACCATGTAGTATTTGGTATACAAAATACATTCTTTTGAGACATTATAGTCTACATGAAGGAAATCAAGAGGATAATTTCATTGGATTGCTACACTTTTACCTGATTTATGGCTTTATTTTACTTTATTTTATTTTATTATTATTTTTTGAGACGGAGTCTCTGTTGCCCAGGCTGGAGTGCAGTGGCATGATCTCGGCTCACTGCAACCTCTGCCTCCTGGACTCAAACGATTCTCCTGCCTCAGCCTCCTGAGTAGCTGGGATTACAGGCGTGTGCCACCACGCCTGGCTAATTTTTGTATTTTTAGTAGAGACGGGGTTTCACCATGTTGGTCAGGCTGGTCTCAAACTCCTGACCTCATGATCCACCCGCCTCGGCCTCCCAAAGTGCTGGGATTACAGGCATGAGCCACCATGTCTGGCTGATTAATTTTTTTTTTAACTGTAAGAGTTTGATCTTTTCAAATGTGTTCAGAAACTAATTTGGATTCTTTGATTCTAGTATCTCAACGTGTTTATTTTTAGATTCTGATAAGTGAAATGGATGTCCTTGTGGAGCTCTGGCCTCCCCAGCTTATCTATCAGTCCTGCTGTCCTCACCTCCTTGCCTCTTTCCATGCTTACCCTTAAGCCACCATCTTTCTCAGCTAGCGTGTGTGTTTCTAGTGTAGTTGGCCCTCCATATTCAGGGGTCCAGCATCTGTGGATTCAACCAACCGCAGATTGAAAATATTTGTTGGAAAAAATGGATGGTTACATCTCTACTAAATATGTGCAGTCCTTTTATTTGTCATTATTCTCTAAACAATACAGTATAACAACTATTGACATAGCATTTATATTGTATGTATTAGGTATTGTAAGTAATTTAGAGATGATTTAAAGTATTTTACATAAGGGACTTGAGCATTCCTAGATTTTGGTAACTGCAGAGGGTCCTGGAACCAACCCCCTACAGATATCAAGGGACCACTATACACATTAGGATGATCTATATTGAAATCTACATGGAACAGAGTGGGACTTCTAATTGTATGACTTCAAGATTTTGCTTTGTTTAAATTAATAACTGTTTTCAGAATTAAGTGCTTAAAAACAAATTTGATTGAAAAGTTCAAGACAAGAATTTTGCTCTCTATGGCTGTTCCATATAAATTTGATGGTTGATTCTGAATGTAAATGACTGAAGAATTAAAAAATAAGAAATTCCTTTTTAAAAGGCATGCCTCTTGCACTGTGAACAAGACAGTAGTCCCTTAAACCATGAATATGTCAGTGTTCTATGGATTACGAAATTAGTAATGTTGCTTAGCCCAAACGTGTTTTTTAAAAAGTATAGTTTTGTACATCTCTAAGTTATCAAACTTCAAAATTGAGAACAAATTTAAAAGTCCATATATGCAACTCTAGTAAGCACTTAATAGGTTACATAGCACTGGTTAAGAACAATTAATTTTGTTTCTATATTATTACTAATTATTATTACAAATCAAAAAACACTGTGATAAGAACTTCAAAGCATATATACAAATATAGTTAAAGCAATGAATAGATGAAACATGTCTACTTTATTTCATTTAGAAAGGAATTAACTTTTTTGTTAGGCTTTTAAGAAAAGTTCTATTCATTTTAATCCCCTAGGGAATTTGTAATATGTCCTACTTCATATCATCTTCTGTTGCCTCTATTGATCCACATTTTCTGCAGTGGATTTCTTGAAAAGAATCACACTTATAGTATGCCTCTAGAAATATGATTTTACTGCTTTGAAGTTTACATGAAACATGCCAGTTGCTTAACTCTAATTTTTTATATGAATCTCAGTAGCACTTTTGTTGTACATTGTGTTCCAATAAGTATAGTATGGAACACTTTCTCATTTTTAGTTCCCATAATATGCCAGTTTTTGCTTTCCTAGTGTTCTGTGAGTATTAGGATTTGGCAATCTGCTTTTGCATTTCAATTTCTGTTTTACATGCAAGAAAAACATGGACACTCTTACGTGGTGCTTGTAGCTGTGTCTCCGTAGAGCTCAGTAAATAGTTCTACAGGGTTTAGAGGATGAGAAGCGATTGTCAAATTAGGCTGAATTGTAGAACACAAATAATTTAATTCAAAATAACTTACCAATTTTATATACATGATAAAGTATTCAGACAACTTTCTAAATGCATAATAGTAAAAGATTGTGACCAGATATTATGATATTAATAAAGTTACCAGATACTAAAATCAATGAATGTAATTTGAATTACTTAGAAATTGTATATTAGAGCCCTTATGAGTAAAAACATTTCATTTAGCAACTTAACTTTTAGAATATTCTTCCTACTTAGGGATTTTGATTAGATTGTAACATTAAATTCGAGAATATTTAGTCTCAAGAGAAACACTTCCTGGCATCCATCTTAAATAGTGGCCTTTTCCCACTATGGTGTTTTTAAATGCATATTCATATATAATAGTATGTTTCTTACATTTAATCCCTAAATAACTTAGATAATCATTCAGTGGAGAACAAGTAAAAGGATATCATTCCTTTTGGAGATAAACATTGAGTGTCTAGAATTTTTTTCTATTAATGCTTTGTATATTAGTTTTTTAAATAAGATCTATAGATATGTATTTATGTGTGTCTTATATATGAAACAGTGCTCTGGGTTTGACTCCTATGTTTTGTAATTTTAAAAACTACGATATGCTTGCAGAAATTCATTGAGAAGCTGTTATAAAAAATGCAGTGAAGCATGACCAAATAGCTAAAAATATTACTGAATCTTTACAAATATATAATCTTTATTGTTGTACTGTGGAGTGCAAGGATACTAAATATTGGCTATTGATAAAATACTAACTTGCATTTCATGGCAAATAGATGTTATATCGCTTGATTAGTCTAGAACATTTCTAATATTTTGTGCTTTCATATATCAAAGGAGATTATGTGAAACTATTTTTAAATACTGTAAAGTGACATATAGTTATAAGATATATTTCTGTACAGTAGAGAAAGAGTTTATAACATGAAGAATATTGTACCATTATACATTTTCATTCTCGATCTCATAAGAAATTCAAAAGAATAATGATAGAGGTGAAAATATGTTTACTTTCTCTAAATCAAGCCTAGTTGTCAACTCAAAAATTATGTTGCATAGTTTTATTTTGAATTTAGGTTTTGGGACTACTTTTTTCCAGCTTCAATGAGAAAATAAAATCTACAACTCAGGAGTTACTAGAGAAGTTCTAAGTATTTTTTTGCTAAGTAGTAAAAATATAAACATATGAAAATGCCATAATGCCTGTCATAGTCATTGTTTCATATTTTGTCATATAAAATCACCTACCCTGCTTCTAGTTTTATACTTTAATCTGAGTGAAAGTATGATGTGGTGGAAAGAAAAAACAGTACAGTATTACATCTGAGTTAGTCTTTGAAAAATCATAGTAGTAAATGAACCTCAACACTGAGTGGTCAAAAATTGGGTTAACCAATGGGGGGAGAATATTTGGTTAATTGTTTTAATATTAAATTTTCAAGTTTATAATAGAGTTATGGTTGAGTAGTCATCCATACTGAGTAATCACGCATTTTTTAAACTATAATTGAGGCTCTTCTAAAGCTTTGTTTTCTAATCTAAGATACAAAGGATATTCTTGATCTTGCTTGATTGTAACTACATCTACCAGTCTTTAATGTCTGTTTGGGGTGAGTGGCGATCCTCTGTTGTAGGAATGTTTTTGAAGATTTCTATTTTGTTTTCCACTTAGGAAATTCCCCTCTCTCATTTGGGGTATATGCGTTGAGTATAAGGTAGGCTGTATTTAGACACACTAGAATCATTAAATGTAGGTGAAGTTGTAGAGAAAAATGGCCTGGGTCAATGTAGGATCTAGAAAATTAGGAGTGTACATTTGCTGGCTTCTTTTTGAGTTTTGTACTGTTTATTACAGGAACATATTTGTGTGGCTAATCTCTAGGGTGACAGTGAGTACTACCCTGCTCCTTCTGCATTCTAGTTATCCAACACACCCAGCAGATTGTGTTCAGGGACAGAATGTGTTTTTAGAAATCCCTTATTATTGAAATGAATAATAATATAGCTATAAATATGAATGTCTGGAGGTATCCAGATGTGCCTTAACAAATGTAAATGGTTTTCATTCAGAAGTTTACATTTTTATTACATTATAAAATCTCATCATTGGGAACTTTCTAAACCATGAATATCAGTTCTTTTAATGAAATTTAGGTGGTGCTTTATCATTTTGGAGAAGTTGCTGTTTGGGACAATAGCATCAGTTTATCAAGAAGTGTACTCACCATGATATTCAACAATGTGTTACATTTGACAAAACGTGTTTAGAGTAAGAAAGACTAACTATACTGTCTGTTATATTTATTTATGCTTTTTGTAGTTTAGCTACATACTATAATTTTCATTTTAAACGTTCCTTAGTTACTACAAATAATATTTATGTTTTGCTTCTTCTTAGATGTAGGCGGATGCAGAAATAGAATTATGTTAGAGAAATTATTAAAAGTTTAATTCCAGTAGGCAGTTGGAGAAATCTGAAACTAATTTGAAAAACTTTTATGCTGTAGTCTCATTAGAATCATTTTAAAAGCACTGTTCTTGCATTTTTCCTAGACTACAGAGAGTGTTCTTTGTCATTTTTTTTCCTATTCTGTTGTGAAGTTTATTGTTTCAGTTATTTGAGGGAAATAACCTCTTAATATGTTTATTTTCCTGAACTAAAGTTTTCATGTAGAGAATACAATTAAATGTTTTGTGTTATGACCCAAACTGGCTGGAAGTAGAGTTCAGAGAGGGAGAAGGGACAAGAATCAGTGTGGGCATCTCAGGAAAGTGGCGCCAGTGCTGGGCTCCAGCCTTCTCCACTGGCATGATGGGTCCTCAGATTCTCCTCTGGATAATGAGGGTGTTGGGCACTGTGAGCTCTGACTTCTGGGGAGGATAGGCCATCATGGACTCCATACACAATTTTGATGGGTATCAGTTCTCATAAAATACCTGCTACAATTTATTTATTTTGTAGTTGTTTAGAAAACTGTGAGCAGTTGGGCATTAGTAAATTGTAGTTATATCTTAACGATCTTGGGAATCATTGAAATATGAGTTTTTTTCCCTCACTCCTATTTATTTAATTAAAAAATTAGGGAAGTTGTTCATTCACAGCTGTATATTAATATAAAATCTCTTTATAAAATGATTCAGAGAAAAGGCAGTAGTGGTCACTTACTGTGCTAAAATACCTTTTTCTCTAAAAATATTTAAGCTTTAGGGTTTGTCATAGTTTTACTTTTTAAATTATACTTTGTGTAACAATTTACGTTAACTAGAAAAATTAGATATATAATAAGTTTTGGTACTAAGAAACATTTACATTCTACACTCATTAGTCAAATGAACTTTTCTTTCCCAGTGCTAACAGATTTTGTTTCATGTGAAGAAAAATAAAATACAAATGAAATAAAAGTCTAGAAACAGCAACAGGAAACTCACCACAGAAATAAAGACATAACCCTTGATAAGTTTGTGTAAGTGCCAGAATTATTGGAAGCAGGTGACGAATGATTAAGAAAAGCTTTATTGTGGGGACATGCTTTAAGAATCAGCTCTGTATTTGTGCCAAGGAGATCAGGTATTGGTGTGCAAACAGATCCCATTAATACTCTGATTTGAACCATGAATTCCACCTACTCTGCGTTGAAGCCCTCCAGTAGACTGATAGATGTAATCAAATGATCAGCTACCAAGTTTAATTCCTTTGCCTGTGTGTAGCAACAGTTGGTAGTTTTACAAGTTAAGTTGATGGTCTGGCTGCAGATAAGAGAAAGACTCAGTGATAGGTGGTTTGTGAGTGAAGTAACTTCCACACTGTCAAGAGTTGACAGCATATTAATTGTGTGGCATTATAATTGTGAGAAACAAATGAGAGCAAAATGTTAGGTCCTTTGACAAGCATTTTCCTCCTGTTTTTAAAAAGGGCTTTAAGTTGTTTCCTATGTAAGGTAATCTTTCTTTTTTAGTATTATCTAAGAAGGATGGTAGATTATGTCATTTTGGAAACTATTGTGTCCCTTGTATTTTAAATATTTCAGGAAAATGCCTACGATTGTTACAAAGATGTGTGTTTTACTTATAACATAAGCTCTGATTCTCCAGTGGCCACTGGGCCTTCTCTGTGCTCTGTATTCAACTGCAGTATGAATTACAGAATGCTGTGCATGTTCGTTAGTACCAATACCATGTGTATGTGGTAGAAGTTGTAACCAGTTTCTGGATCTGTATGGTACTATAAAATACTTATTTTATAATTCTGTAACCGTATGGCAGTGTTATGCCAAAAATGTATAAAGAGCAATAGTTTTTGTTGCTTACTGCTGTATTTTAAAATATTGTTTCTAAAATAATAGAGTTAGAGTTCCTTTTGAGTAATTATTTTTAAGAACTATTGCCAAATATACATCCTGTAAAACTAATAAAAGCCACTCCATCTTAGATAACATTTTAGCATTGTGCTAGAGTACATTATGGTGATTTTGCACGATTAAAATATTTTTAAAGAACTAGAAAAAATGACTTGCTGTTTTCCTGTCATTAAGCATGTATTTTTTATGATTAACACATAAGACTAACATTATTTTCTTTTATCCTCAAAAATAAATATTGTGAAGGGTGAATCATATATATGAAGTTATTTTTATTGTGAGATTCTACAGAACAGATCACATATGTAAATACTTGGATGTTTATTGTTATCTCTTTGTGTAATGCAGAGTTTTAAAAGTATTTTTCTTACAGATGAATGAATATGAATAGCTAATGAAGGTGAAAGATGTTTTTCACTTAGGCGGGCTAATATTTAAGTAGTCAAGTTTTTGATTAAGAAAAATTGAAATTGCAAGATGAAAGTGAGGAGGTTGCTCTAAGAATCACAGGACAATGTAGACAAAAATGAGGAAAAGCATAACATTTGAGCTTGGCTGCATTCTATATAAGCAGGGAAAGAGGATGAAAGAACTAAGAATAAGTTGTAGTAAGAGTGAAGTTAGATTGTGCATAACTGAGAAAATGATAGCAAATAACAGCCTCAGTGGTGAATGAGCGTGATTTTAACTTCAGCCTTTTGTATGAATGGTTTAGTAGAGAGAGAAGTGCACACATGCAGTCATTTTCATAAGGGAAGAATGAATACATTCTGGTAACAGAAAATACGATTTTCTTTTCCCCACAGATTGAATGTGTGAAGGTATTGTAAAATCTGAAGAAAACAAAGATTCTTAGGATAGTAATAAATGCAGGACTGAGTCTGCACTTCTGCAAGAATGTAAATTTTAATATGGGAGAGATTTTGGGAAAAGATTCATAACATTTTCCTTATTTTAATTCTAAAGTGGATGCAAAACAGACAAGCTGGTATTTCAAGCATGGAGGGAAATCCCAGCCTGGATAAAAATGATGACAGGCAGTTTGGCTTCTTGTGGGCGATTTTAGGCTTTGGCAACGGTGACTGAATGAGTTGTCAGACTAATATGGGGAACAAGTAAAGATTACCCTGCTCTTAGGATTATCCCCATGAATATGTAGGATTAATTGGAAGAGGATTTTAAAATAGGATACTAAAGAGACAGATTTGAGAGTCAGCATGGATTCAACTTAACTATTCAGGAAAACTGGGTTTATTAATTTTGCTACAGTAGTTAACATTCTTCTATTTTTTACAGCTTTATTGCATATTCAACACTACCAAATATACAAATATTTTCTCCTCAAATGGTATTATTGAAATAATAACTAGTTATTATTGAAATAGCTAGTTTTATCTACTCTCAGCTTTGGAAAAGAAAGAGGTTACAAGAAGAATGAATAAACAAAGGATAAGTGGTAGACAAGGTGAACCAAATGAGATCTGACAACTCACCTTAGAACACGGAGGTTGTTTGACATCTTTAAATGGATGATTTAACTGTTGTGAGGAAGAGAAGTTCAAGAAAAAGCCCTGAAGGGAAAAAAAAGTAAGGGCAGAGAGACATTTTGTTGAATGGGGAGAGAGCAGGCTTTGAAGCCAGATGGACTTTGGTACAAGTGGCAACATCATCAGTTATAATTGACTGTGTGGTATTGGGGAAGGAGTGTAAATTCTCAGGGTGTCTGGTCTCTTGTTGGTAATAATACCTGCTTTGTGAGTTTCTTGGAAGGATTGGAGAGAGGGTAGGTGAAATGCCAGGAACATATTCCAGACACTCATTAATAGTAGCTGCTGGGGCTCTAGAAAAAACAAAACAAAACAAAAAACAAGAAGATGCTTAGTTATGACAGGTCTTGTGTAGCACTTATTTTAATGAAAACCAATCTAATCTAATGGATGTTAACCAGGTTTATAGGTCGAAACAAATACTGTAAGTTTTACTTTTAATTTTAATATAGTTTTACTAAAAAAGCTAGCAGGTATGGAATTAATGATTTTAGATTAGATACACTGATATTGACAGGACAGAACATTTCCCTCACCGTGAATGTAATGAATGTACAAAACAGCCCTTTGTTGCTCCCTTAATAATTTTTTGAAACGGTTTCTTCTCTTCCAAGAAAAGAGCTGGAGTGTGAGACAGAGGTGAAGCCTTTCAATCAGATGACCTTAGTTTATTTTTAGTACACTATCAGTTTGATTCTTATTGAAAGCTGGAAATTTTACTTTCTAATCCTCCAAATAGATATGTACTTCATATCTTAGTGGGAGGCCACTTAAAGTTAACACTATTTAAAAATGTGTATGTAATTAATTCTATGAACATGGTGGCCTAATTGCGATTATTTTCTTACAACTGGAGTTAGAAGAATGAAGAATTTTGTGCTAAAGAAACATTCACCTTTCAAAATTCAAAATTATAGATATTATAATACTGTGACATTAAAATGGGGCCTACTGGAAGTCCTGGGTCATTGTCTTGTTCAGCTGTTTATCCCCTCAAAGCACCACCCCTGTACTATACAGAAGAAATGAAATAAATTCTCATTGTTTTCAATAGAAATTGAACATTTTTATCTTCTTTGAAAAACAAAAATCTAGGCCAGGCGTGGTGGCTCACACCTGTAATCCCAGCACTTTGGTAGGCTGAGGCAGGTGGATCACCTGAGATCAGGAGTTTGAGACCAGCCTGGTCAACATGGGGAAACCCCGTCTCTACTAAAAATACAAAAGTTAGCTGGGCATGGTGGTGTGCGCCTGTAATCCCAGCCACTCGGGAGGCTGAGGCAGGAAAATCGCTTGAGCCTGGGAGGCAGAGGTTGCAGTGAGCCGAGATCGTGCCACTGTACTCCAGCCTGGGTGACAAGAGCAAGACTCCGTCTACAAAAAAAAAAAAAAAAAATCTAGCATTCAACTAATTTCTCATTTTATCTGTTTCAATGTCCAGAAATGAGAAGGGAAATTATAGACTTGTATAATTGGCAGGGAGTGTGGATCCTAATTTTGCAGATAATGAAGGTGAAGGATGGATAGGTGTCATAATTCTGCTCCTCTAAAAGCTGCAGATGGAAGAGTTTGAGGAACCCAAGCTATGTGGGTCTTTACAGTGGGTTTGCTATGTGTGGTTCTTTTTAACTCAGGGAACACCTCTTAATAGAATGCATTCAAGAGCATCAGCCCAGACAGTGGGCTGACCCATGCTGCGGTACTAACCTAAGACCAGAGTCCTCTTCCTGAAAGAGGCTTTCTCACCACTTAATGTGTTTGCTACCTGGCCAGTGCTTATGTTTGGTAAGTTCTGAAGTAGGTCCAAATACTTCCATTTAGGAAACAAACCACTGGGTCTCTGAAAAATGGTCTTTGGATATAATCATCTCTGACAGCATGCCTTACTGTACATAGTAGCTCTTCCAGATCTCATCTCTGGGACAATGTGGAGCCTGCTGTACTGCTGTAACCCTGACATTTCTAATCTCATTGAATGACACAGCCTGATCCCCAAACTGGAAACCAGGGAGCTATTCCTGGCTTTTCATTCATCAACACATGTAATTTGATAACAAATTCTGTCGATGCTATTCCTTGAATTTGTCTCCAATCCTCACTTCATCATCACCTCCAGTGTCTTCACAGATCTTTACCTATTGCAAGAAACTCCTAATTCTTCCCTCTGCCACCAGAAAGCATGCAGCCTTCACAAAATGCCATGGTGTTTCTTTGTATCTTAGGTGCCTAACAGTGTCCATAATAAACACTCAATAACCAGTCATTGAATTAAAAAAAATGTTCAGCAGTAATATCTTAAAACAAGTAATATCTTGAAACAAATATACAGCTGCTTATAAATATACAAGCAGATGTATAAGTCTACAGGCAGCTACTTATTATGACCCCTTTTTGAGATAAGATTTCTTCAAGACAAATAGCCTCCAAAGTGAAATATTTGTATGATAGTACAAAGATTTATATGGAAAGGTTTCATAAGTATTTAATGTTTTGTTTTACAAAGCAGATCATAGTTCCTTCCTGGTCTCTCGAGTCACTTAGCAACAAGGGTCATTAATTAGTTTTAAACTGATTTAAAAGCAGGTTCAAATTTGAGGTTAAAAGAAAGGAAGGGAAGTACATGGTCTCACTTTTCCTGCTTGGCTTGCAATTTTAAATAAGATGAAGTAATTTTACAATCATATTTAGTAGATCAATGAAGTACCTGTTTCAGTGCCTGGCCGAGAGTTAGATGCATGGGAATAAACAACTGCAAGCATGAAATGAAGTTTCTCTGTAAGAAAACCATCTGGAGCATCTGGCAGAATAAAGACAATTCCCTTGGCAGTTCACAGCAAAGCTGATTTCCCCTCCTCTGTTTTTACAGTTTAGACAGAAATACTGATTGACAGCAAAGGCTACTCTTCAAGGTATGGCTTTTCCCCTTAATGTTTAATTTTCAGATTGTATTATAACTTTGATTTCAGCTTTCCTTTTTTCTGCATGTTGACAACCAAATTGAAACTAAAAGCTCCCTTATTTTAAGGTTTTCTTAAATAGAAACCCTAAGGATGTTCTAGTTGATGGAAGTAAATGATCACTCAAATTCCTTTAACCTTCCTGAGCTTGAGTGTTTTGTAGGCTGGAAAACACTTGCACCTAAAAGACTTTGTGAAACGGTTGGTTCCTCATTTTGTTTATCCTCTTTTAGCTTATGGTGTTGAATTCAAATTATAAAAACTGTAATGAGGTCACAAGATCATTCACACCAAACTCAGGTCAAGAAATGTAGCACCCGTTCTTAATAGCTTATCTGATCTTCATGAGCCCCGCCCTGCTGATGGTTAGGGACATCTTCCATTTGCCATTGGGAACTACTATCACTTCATGTTTGTATTTCTCCTTTCAGTTTAAACATTCAGACTATTGAAAATTTAAATCAGGGCCAGTATAACAGCCTCTTTGGAATGACTATTTCTTTTGGTAAATTACTAGTCATCCAAATTTTACACCCACCTCTTTTTCCTGCCCAAGATGGCTTCTTGGGGGCATTGAGGAGGTTTCATCTGTGGTAGCAGGGACCAGGTGAAAAGATTTATGTGGTGTCCTCTAGATGCTCTCAAATTGCAGCTGTGGAGTGGCTGGGTTAGGCTGCTCCTCTGAACTGGTAACTGCCAAGGTTCAAGTGGTCTCATCTGTCTGTTTGAGTTTAAAGCTAGTGGTGCCCATGGTGGAGCCAATAGCCCAATAGCCTTCGGTCTCAAAGTTGTTACTAATAGCAGCCACATAATTTAGACTCCAAGCTTCTGTAAAGTCACAGGCAATGTGGGAGGCATCTGTATGATGGAGAGAGATTTGGCCCTGTAATTTGAATTTTATCTTTGAGATTTGGCCATGTGACTTTGGGAAAGGTAAGTGACACTCTATGAACTTCGGTTTCTTTGTAAAGTGGAAGTAATAATACCTGGCAGAGGCCTGAAGGTTATAAAATCGGAATGTTTATTCCTGACACAGACTGGATAATACATGACTATTATTGTTGTTAATATTTCTTGAATATTTGTGGTTTCTGAGTGTTCTTTTAAGGCCCAAAATCAAAAAAAGAAGAGTAAGGAGGGAAAAAAGAAAGGAAAGAAAGGACACAGAGCCAGATCTCTATTTAATATTTTAGATTGCTCTTTGACTTTTGTTTAGAGTTTTTTCCTGATTAAATAACACTGAATCCTTCTTTATCTAATTTGATTCATATGAGAAAAGACTGAGACCACAAATATAGAAGAAACATTATATAAGTAATGTTATTATTATATTTATAATATAATTATTCTAGGAATCTTGGGTAATCTACTTTTCAAATGAAGAACAATCTATAAAATACCTATCTTGGGATTTGGTGAGATAAATGATATTACATTTAATGGTTCAGAAAGTTAGTTTCCTCTTTAACATCAATATTTCTGTGTGGAAAGAAAAACATCAGTTAGGTAGTTAGATTTCCCAAAAGTGTTTTCAAGAGAATTTTGTACATCTAGGAAAAACCTTGCTGATAAAACATTTTTCTCTACTCTTAGTTTTTAGGCCTCCTACAAGCACTCTGTAATTGCACAAATGCAATTGCTGATTCAAACTAAAGCATGAGAATTATGCTAAAAAAAAATCCAGCCCTAGAAAAAACATTTTTATAGTGCCCATTAATGTGATAAATCTGATAATTTTAAAATAGTAACCATATGTAGACTTGCAGACTGGGTAATCCATAAAAGAGCTGCTTTCAACTTTAAAGACCTAATTATCTTGGTAAGTAGCTTCATAGTTGACACCAGGGAGACTTGTTCATTTATAGTCTTTGTATGTGTATGTATTGACATGCTGGCAAGCTGGGGTTCAGTGAGGCTTCATCTAGAGAGACTTTTTTCTAGTATGGCAGGAAATTATCTTCTAATTGGAGATATATATATATATATATATATATATCCAATTAGATATGTATCATTCCAATTGAGAAGTACCCCTCCTCCATTACAACCCTTCCTCCATTACCACCAATTTGAAGAAATTGTTATTCTGGTAATTAAACTAATAAAACTGACAAATAATGAGAGAGATTACTTTCCTCAATAGTTAACTCCTAAGACAGGCTGTCTGAAATACTTCAGGATAAGTTTAACAAAATACGTACAAGATCCATACATTGAAAACTACAAAAGATTGTTAAGAGAAAATTTAAAAGTCAAATAAAAAGGAAAAATATCATATTCTTGAACTAGGAAACTCATATTGTTAAGAAATCAATTTTCCCCAAATTGATCTTTAGATTCAATGCAAGTCTTCCCAGAGGACTTCTTTGTAGAAACACGCAAGCTGATTCTAATAGATATGTGGAAATAAAAAGGACCTACAATTGTCAAAATAGTCCTTTAAAAGAAAAATAAATTTGGAGAAATTCCATTTTCTGATTTCAAGCTTTACTTCAAAGCTACATAATCAAGAGTGTGGTCTTGGTGTAAAGATAGATCAGTGGAATAGAGTAAATAAAGAGTTCAGAAATAGATCAACATTGGACAAAGGTGCCAAGGTAATTCAATAAGGAAAGGGTAGTATTTTCAACAGATAGTGTTGGAATACCTGGATATTCAAACGGGAAAGAAATGAGCGTCAATCCTACTCACACTGTACACAAAAGTAAACTTAAAGTAGATAATAGACCTAAAGTAAAAGCGGAACATATAAAGCTTCCAGGAGAAAACATATTTTTTTCAAGATTTTGTAAATAGAACAGAACTATAACCATAAAAATTGATGAATTAGACTTTATTAAAATTAAAAACTTAATTTTTAATTAAATTACAACCCCACTCATTACAACTACTGCTCTTCCAGACACATCACTAAGAAAATGAAAAAGCAAAAGACTGGAAAGAAAGTATCTGCCATATATATACACACACACACGCACACACACACACACACATACACACATATATATATACACACACATATACATATATACACACATATATGTATATATACATATATACACACATATATGTATATATACATATATACACACATATATGTATATATACATATATACACACATATATGTATATATACATATATACACACATATATGTATATATACATATATACACACATATGTATATATACATATACATACACACATATATGTATATATACATATACATATATATATAGATGTGTGTATAGACTTACATCCAACATACTAACATATGTAAAGAACTCTCACAACTCAAAAATAAGACAAATGACAAGTTTAAAAAGGGAGTGAAGGATTGGAACATACCCTTCACAAAAATACATATGCAGTGGCCAAGAAGGACATGAACATATGATTAATCATCAGGGAAGTGCAAATTTCCCTGATATTACTACAAACCTGTCAGAATGGCTAAAATTTAAAAGACTAACAAAAACAAGTGTTGGAAGGGATGTGGAGCAACTGGAACTCTCATATACTGCTCCTGGGAACGTAAAATACTATAAATACTTTGGAAAACAGTTTGTCAGTTTCTTATAAAAGAAAACATATACTTCCATATGACTCAGATTTAGATGATATGGAAGTATACGAAAACCTATGCCCAAGAGGAATGAACCCTATGTCCACAACAAGACAGGTACACTAATGTTCACAGCAGCTTTATTCATAATAGCTCCCAACTGAAAACACCCCTAATAACATTTACAGATGAATGGATAAACAAGTTGCGGAATATTCACGCAACTTACCAGTAAAAAAGAATAAACTACTTTTACATATAATAGCATTGGTGAAGCTCAAAAACCTTATAAGCAAAAAGAGCCAGACACAAAAGAATACCTATTGTATGACTGCATTTACATGAAGTTTATAGAACAAACAAAACTAATCTATAGTGACAGATGTCAGGTCAGCATTTGCCTGAGAAGGGGCTGGAGTTTGATTGCAGAGTTATGAGAGAATGTGGTGGGGCCTGGGGAAAGGAGGGGGAAGGCCGACAGAAGCATTCTATAGCTTAATTATGGGGATGATTATATGGGTGTATGGGGATGATTACATGGGTGTATATGTCATCAAAGCTCATTGAACTATACACTTAAAATAGGTACATTTTATTGTATGCAAAATATAGTTCTATGAAAGGAAAAAAAAAAAAAAAACAGACTGTCTTCCTAGTTAAAATTTTTCAAAGTAGCACCTAGAAGGTCCATCTAACTTGGCATAAGTGTGAAAAGCCTAGAGAGGTTAGTAATTTCTTCCTTATGACTCTATCTTCTTAATAAGAGGAACCTGCTCCTACATCCTTCCCAGAGTTTCATTTTCACAGCCTTTCATAGCTTACAAAATAGTTAAAAAATCAATGTAAAAAAATCACAAGCATTCTTATATACCAATAACAGACAGACAGCCAAATCATGAGTGAACTCCCATTCACAATTGCTTCAAAGAGAATAAAATACTTAGGAATCCAACTTACAAGGGACATGAAGGACCTCTTCAAGGAGAACTACAAACCACTGCTCAATGAAATAAAAGAGAATACAAACAAATGGAAGAACATTCCATGCTCATGGGTAGAAAGAATCAATATCGTGAAAATGGCCATACCGCCCAAGGTAATTTATAGATTCAATGCCATCCCCATCAAGCTACCAATGACTTTCTTCACAGAATTGGAAAAAACTACTTTAAAGTTCATATGGAACCAAAAAAGAGTCCGCATCACCAAGTCAATCCTAAGCCAAAAGAACAAAGCTGGAGTCATCACGCTACCTGACTTCAAACTATACTACAAGGCTACAGTAACCAAAACAGCTGACACTGGTACCAAAACAGAGATATAGATCAATGGAACAGAACAGAGCCCTCAGAAATAGTGCCGCATATCTACAACTACCTGATCTTTGACAAACCTGAGAAAAACAAGCAATGGGGAAAGGATTCCCTATTTAATAAATGGTGCTGGGAAAACGGGCTAGCCATATGTAGAAAGCTGAAACTGGATCCCTTCCTTACACCTTATACAAAAATTAATTCAAGATGGATTAAAGACTTAAATGTTAGACCTAAAACCATAAAAACCCTAGAAGAAAACCTAGGCAATACCATTCAGGACATAGGCATGGGCAAGGACTTCATGTCTAAAACACCAAAAGCAATGGCAACAAAAGACAAAATTGACAAATGGGATCTAATTAAACTAAAGAGCTTCTGCACAGCAAAAGAAACTACCATCAGAGTGAACAGGCAACCTACAAAATGGGAGAAAATTTTTGCAACCTACTCATCTGACAAAGGGCTAATATCCAGAATCTACAATGAACTCCAACAAATTTACAAGAAAAAAACAAACAACCCCATCCAAAAGTGGGCAAAGGATATGAACAGACACTTCTCAAAAGAAGACATTTATGCAACCAAAAGACACATGAAAAAATGCTCATCATCACTGGCCATCAGAGAAATGCAAATCAAAACCACAATGAGATACCATCTCACACCAGTTAGAATGGCAATTGTTAAAAAGTCAGGAAACAACAGGTGCTGGAGAGGATGTGGAGAAATAGGAACACTTTTACACTGTTGGTGGGACTGTAAACTAGTTCAACCATTGTGGAAGTCAGTGTGGCGATTCCTCAGGGATCTAGAACTAGAAATACCATTTGACCCAGCCATCCCATTACTGGGTATATACCCAAAGGACTATAAATCATGCTGCTATAAAGACACATGCACACGTATGTTTATTGCGGCACTATTCACAATAGCAAAGACTTGGGGAACCAACCCAAATGTCCAATAATGATAGACTGGATTAAGAAAATGTGGCACATATACACCATGGAATACTATGCAGCCATAAAAAATGATGAGTTCATGTCCTTTGTAGGGACATAGATGAAATTGGAAATCATCATTCACAGTAAACTATTGCAAGCAAATACCGCATGTTCTCACTCATAGATGGGAATTGAACAATAAGAACACATGGACACAGGAAGGGGAACATCACATTCTGGGTATTGTTGTGGGGTGGGGGGAGGGGGGAGGGATAGCATTAGGAGATACACCTAATGCTAAATGACAAGTTAATGGGTGCAGCACACCAGCATGGCACATGTATACATATGTAACTAACCTGCACATTGTGCACATGTACCCTAAAACTTAAAGTATAATTTAAAAAAATCCTCATAAACATTAAATTAAGAATGAAATGCCTTTCTAGTCTGTTATTTTTCTGTCATATCAATTGCAAGTATTTTATCTGTTATCTTAAGTGTTGTATTTTCTGCTTCATCATTTTTTTGATTGTAGCATCCTAAAATAAGCAATTGGATCATGTTCAACACAGGGAAAATAGTTCCTTGAATATCTTCATTACTGATAATCTCTTCCACATCTGTCTTCTTATCATAGCTTTCTAATGAGATTTTAAGTAGTCTGCCTACCCCCAATTCATTTACCATGTGAATATCACCACATAAATAATTCTACTAAAGCTATTCCTTAATCAAATCATCCCCCTTCTCAGAAACCTTCAGTCACTTGGCTTACTAAAAAACAAAATTCATTAGTTTTCCAGGACTGGTTCCATTCTATCTTTCCTGATTTCCCATTGTTCCCCTGTGAATGATACAAGTTCTAGCTGAAATTGGCCACCAGTCATTCCTCTCCTACCTCCACCTTTTCCTTCCTCTTTGCATTCCAGGTCTCACCCACCTTCCATAACAGTTTGCATGACTCTCCTCAACCATCACTCACAACAGGTGTGATACCAGCCACCCATCAAAGCATTTTCTCTTTCTCTTGCAGTTACTCTTGCATTAGATTATAAACTCTTAAAGGGCTGGGCTTAGTTTCTGTCATCTTTGTTTCTCCCACAGAGAGGCCTCAACACAATTTGAGTGAATTCATGGAATGAATCATGCAAGTCCATGTGGTTGAGAAGCAGAAGAGTGAGGACCAGAATCTCTAACTCTTCATTCCTCATTCTATTACTTTTTACACCACGGCCGTTGCAAAAATCTCCCATAGGACTTTGAATTGCCTTTGGAGAAGGATGGGGAGAACATGTTGCTCCAGACATTTAAAACTGAATCAAAGAAGGCAGTAAAACTTGCTGCAGGGAATCGTCCTGGCAGAAAGATCAGCTTAGATGCCTTTTTGCTTCTAATCTCTTATGGTGGTAGAGCAAATGGACTATGAAGTCTCCTATGGAAATTGATACTGTTCATTGGATCTTTTTACGTACGCTTTTTTTTCTTTTTAAATGGAGCCTGATTGGAGACTTACAGTTTATTTTGTGTGTGGTCAATTATTTCTAAATGGGTTCAAACTTTGTGTGTGTGTTTGAAGAATATTTTTACAAAACAGAATTTTGGACAGCACTTTTTTGAAGGCATTAGTTTCCAAATACATTTAGCATGGCACACTCACCAGGCCACCCTTTGACACCATGATGTTGTTTGAGAAGAGTGGATACCATTTTAAACCAGCTTGCTTATGACATTGCACGTTCCAATAAAACACAATCTGTCTTTGGGTTGGCTTGGCACTTTCCATAGCTCTTATACTCGCCTCCTTCTTGTGTCAAATCATACTTCAGTGTTATCTCTGATAGACAATACTAGAAAGCATATTGTCTTGGTTGCAGCAAAAGTACGTTTCTGGTGTGGACAAAAATATGGCCACTTGCCTATGACATGACACTCAGGTGGATATATGCTACTTTTAATGATGTCAGTTGAAGCAGATGGACAAAGCACACCATGTGGTGGAGGCTACTGACTGCCCTCCTTTTGTTTCATTGTAAAGATGTAGCTGGACCATGGTTGTTCAGCCAGAGACTCATTTCCCAGCCTTCTTACAACTACATGAAGACTTGTGACTATGCCGTTGTGGTAGAGTGTGAGGGATGTGATATGTGCTGCTTCTGAGCTTGGGCCTTGCAATGCTGGCTGGGTGCTCTTTTCACAAGCTGGAACTTAAATCTGCCTCCAACCCTGCTCAGCATGGTCATATTTTAGAGCATGGGTGGCCAAACTTTTTCTTCATGTAAAGGGCCAAATAGTAAATATTTTCAGTTTTGTAACCATTCAGTCTCTACCCTGTGGTGTGTAAGCAGCCAAAGATGATATGTAAACAAATGGGCATGGCTGTATTCCAATAAAATGTTATGTGCAAATCCAAGTGGCAGGCTGGATTTGGTCCATGGCCTGTAGTGTTCTAATCCCTGCCTTGTGGTGAATAAACTGTGGAAAGAAACTGGGTGCCTACATGGCTGCAAGGAACAGAGCTGCCCCAGACCAGACCACTCTCCTATGGATAGGTTATGAGAGAGAGGGGAGCTTTCTTCTCTTTAAGCCACAGCACTTTTGGGCCTCTTTGTGCAGCAGTTGGGCTTTTCCCCTATTCAGCACACACGAGCAGGCACTGTTGGCCTTTTTTAGATTCAGCTTCACATTTGAGAGCAGGAAGCTTTAGTCTGGAGCTCCAGCCATTTGAGATTGACTCTTCACTGAGTCTTATGTTTCCCCAGAAGGCTTTAAGTTATTCCATCCATTTTATTTAAGGAAGGTAGATTAGTTTTGTCAGTAGTCATCTGTCTATTTGGATTATCGTCTTACCCTTTCTTGAAACTGATGGAGGTATTCCCAGGGTCTATTTGATGACCCCTGAGCTGCCTGAGGAACATAGTATGCAGATATAATATATGAAGGAAGTAAAATTTTTCTTCGGGGATTTTTTTATTCCTCCTTCATCCAAAGTCCTTTTATCCCTCCTCAGATATCTCTACTATGGCTTAGTCTTAGAGTATTGGTTTTTCTTAGCTATAAATTATAGCTCATAAAACTTAATATGTCATTTTTGTTTTGTTTTGCTTTTTCTAATCATAAATTATATGACCTTTACAGAAAATTTAGAAAATACAGAAAAACTGAAAAGTTACACATGGTACAACTCACAACCACAATCATAGGTAATAATTTTGGTGTATTTTCTATACAGTTTTGGCGCGTACTGGGACATAGTTTAAAAAAACTCTTCAAAATTCAAAGGGATAAGATTCCATAATTAAAGCTAATGAAATTGGTGAATGATTATTCAGTTATTTCTGCCTGAAGGTTAGAGAGGGTTTGATGTAAGAGATAATATTCCACTTTGATCTTAGAGTATAAGAAGCACTTTGAAGCAGAGAGAATAAAGAAAAATCATCCCATGGTAAAAGAAAAACATGGAGGCATTAAAGTGTACTTTATATGGAGAATTTAATACTTGACTATGGTCTTGAGGAATTTTATTAAAACTTGGTGCTCCAGTTTTCTTGTTTAAGCATTGGGAATGGTCATATTTGTCTTTTACCATTCTAGAAAATAGACTATGTGAAGATAAGCCATGTTCAAATATGAACTCTTGAGAGAAAAGGAACCTAAATATCTCTGGCATAATTGAATATCAGATTTTTTTCATTCTTACTATTATAATTTTATTCACTATAATAAGATAAAATAATTCTTCTTCCAGTCCTTTTTGTGAAAAGTTTACAAGAAAAAAGGTATCACATATTTTAAGTAAATATTTGTTTTATTATCTGGACTTTTATTCACAAGGAAAAGCTATTCAAAAATCATCCTTATTTTAGGTTAAATGAGAATGATATTCATTCAATTTTTATTAAGTATTTTTGGATGTTTCTGACTGTGATATTTGTTCCTCTCAATGACTTATAACATTAATTTTCAATTTCAATCATTAATTTGGCTGTCACAAAAGTAAGCTATATAATGTTCAAGTACTAGTCTTGTAAGTGTCATTAAAACTAATCACTACAGTGTATTCAATATTCAAAAAATAAACATTTCAGTTGTAGACACTTGCAAATAGTTCAGAGCAACTGTAAATATGAGAGCAGTAACATTTCAGATATTTCTGCTTTTCAGGTTAAAAAAAAATAAAACAATCTAAAAAGCGGTGCCACAAGGAGAAAATATTGAAAAGTAACCTGTTTTAGTACCCAAGTGAATACTTGGAAATGTCAGACCCTTGCCCATTATAATCTTGAATTCCTTGTGTTTTATATGATGAACACTATAACCTCTTGTTAGGAACCATGTCAATAAAATTGTACAGGATTACATTCGAAGTTAAGATTGTATTCTAATGTTTACATGGACTAAATAAAAAATTATGTATGTAGACCTAAACAGAAGTAATTTTGTTGTCATTTGCATATTACATTTTATAGTTTTACTAAACCAAAAATGGTTTTTTTTTTTAAAAGGAACTGTAATTCGGGTATGATAGCTGTAGCAAATCAACTCAAGTGTACAAGAAACATCCCAGTTCTTATTGCCTTTAAATCAAATTAAACAGACCCTTACTCCCCCTCACCAGGCTGCCAGGAAACCAAATTTCAATTACTTTTGGGATCCCTGACTCTCCAGAATTGTATCAATATTCAAGAAGTCAAATGGTATGGGATCAAGACCAAGGTCTCTAGTTGCTAGATCATTGTGGCCCCAGCTGACATATCACAGTCAAACTTCAACATCCGTGGGTCCTTACAGTGTTGTGGCTCTCTGCGCCATAGTAAGGGGGGTATTGGACTTATGCTAAGGCTGAGGTTGCCAACACTTGGGGTCTCTCCTCCCTAGGTGCACTACAGAGGCTTCCCTCTGATGTCTGGCTATATTTCTGTAGAGACACAGTGGTGCATTTTGTGCCCTGCCCACAGGGCTAGATTGAGGGGATGAGGGGGCCTAGAGGCAGTCAGGCCCTGTGCCTTGGCATGGGCTGATTCATTTTCCTCTGGACAAAGGTACCATCTGTTGCTCATCAAGCTGTATGCCTGTTGGGCTGCATCTGCCTAGAGGGGGCACCTTTTCAGTTGGCGCAGAGTCTTCCTATGTAGACTAATGTAGACTAGACATGGCCAGCACCGCCTTCCAGCACTGCCACTGAGCACAGCCCAAGTTCCTGCTACTTTCATAGTCCTCAGATCTCGTGTTTCCTCCCACAGCATGAGAAAGAAATCGCTTCTCTCAGCATTTCTGCTTCTCAAAGACACTGCTCTCCAGTCCTCTTCCAGGACTCCCAGCAAAATCCCATTTGAGGATTTAGTATCTCACAAAAGAGTGAAAAAGTCCTTCAGGTTCAGGCTGTTTTGTTCTCTGCCTGGCCAAGATACCCATGGGAAGAAATTACCAAGGGAGATAGGGGAAGCTAAGAGTGCAGCACACACTGGTTATTTCAAAAACCCCTGCTGCACAAGTACTAATGGGAGGAAGTATTCAGTTATAATGCTTACGATCTGCCTTTCCTTTTCTCTCTAGGGAGAAAGAGCTATTTTTTGGCCAGACCATCCCCTTAGTCTTGAGGAATGCTGTCCAGGATGAGGAATGATAGGGAGAGAGCCTGGGAGTCAACAGTTGGACATAAAGGATCAAAGAAAGGAATGGGCATAAAAGGAGAGGAGCCCAAGCATGGAAAAGAGGAGAACAGAGAAGGGAGTCCTGAGGAGGAAGGAGGCATCTGACACAACAGTGGTAAAAGCATCCTTAGGAAACCCTGCTGTGTATTGTGTCCTATAGCTCTCCCACCACCTCTTCCTCAAGAGTCTTTGAGTGAAGCCCTCTGTGGCTTCCCCAGGCTTTTTTCTTTTTTCTTTTTGCATGGGTAAGATTTGTGTATTTCAGGTTGTGAAACTGCGCTGAGATTGTGCTCCAGGTGGCCCAGCGTAGTCCGAGTGCATCGTCCTTCTGCATCACCACCAGGGAGTGTGATAGAATTTGCAGACTTTGTGCCACAGAGAAAAAATAGGTTTAAGAACTTTGACTTAGGAGTAAGTCAAAGATGCCCTGACACATACTAGTTAGAATGGCAAACAATTTTTTAATAATGAAAAATGCCAAGTTTTGTTTAGAATGTGGAAGAACTGGGATGCTCATTCACCGATAGTGGGATGTAAATTGTTACAGGCATAACGACTTTGGAAAACAATTTGTCAGTATCTATTAAAGCAGAACATACATATACCCTGTGGCCTGGCAATTAGCTTCTGGGTGGATGCTCAATTGGAGTGTGTACATATGTGCACCAAAAGACAAACTATTCATAATATCTTCAAACTGCCCATCAATAGCAGAAGTCATAAATATGGTGTATTCAAGGATGGAATTCTACATAGTAATGATCATGAGCCATCTACAACTATACGTGACAATGAGGCCAATTCTCACAAACAGAATGCTGAGTGAAAGAAGTAAGATAAAGAGTTTCTGCTCTAGGATTCTATATACATATGGAGTACAAATACAGGGAACACATATCAGTGAGGTTAGAGGTCGGGATGATAGTTACCCTTGGGGAGGGGTTGGTGACAGGAAGGGAGTACAAAGGGGATTTCTGCAATGTTGATAATGTTTTGTCTTCTTATCTGGATAATGGTTACATGGTTGTGTTCAGTTTGTGAAAATATAGCAAATTGTTTAGTTATTATGTGTGCACTTCTTGGTATGTATATCACATTTCAATAAAAAGTAAAACCTAAAAAATGAGTTAAAATTTTTGCCACACTTTACATACTAGCTTTTTTTTCAGAAGGTCATAATTCTCTCATAAAAATACTGAGCAAGACTATAATTGAATACTGAATCACTGCATACTCATCAAATCCTGATACAAAACAAACAAACAAACAAAAAATATCATTAGTTGAGGAACTTGGGAAATGAAATTAGTTTTCCTTAAAGATATTAACATCAGAGATTAACATTTGTATTCTCCCACAGCAGTGCAAATATTAAAAGCAATGTTTCCGTGAGATTGTGTTATAAACGACAAGTATATCCTGGCATACAGTGGCACATAAGTGGAGCTATCTTTAATTCTAAAAGCTATAACTTTGTGGTTCAAAGAGGGAGGCACACATTTATCAAGGCAATATGTCTGGCAGAGTCTGATTGCTGTTTCCCACCTGCACCAGAAGGCTTGGACTGGATGCTGTTCTTCTGTGTCTTGGGGCCTCAGGGGTGGTTTGTTGAAATGACTTGGCTTTTAAGGAAAGCAGATGAGCAGCTAACGTTGGCTAACATTTATTGAATATTTGCTTTGTGCCAAGCACTGTACTAAGCAGAGCTGCTTTGAGGGAGAGGAGAAGCCGGTTCAAATTACTAGAATCTAGTGGTCTGGAGGGAGGCCTTGGATATGTCGATATTGAATATCAATGCAAATCCTCAAGATATATATATTTTTTAGTTGGATGACCCTGTTGATGGGGATTTTGAATTACTTTTCTTTGGTTTCCAATCTTTGAAGTAGGAAGTGTTGTATTTTAAAGAGCATAAAACAAATTCACAAAAGGTTAAGTGATTTGCTCAATGTCACATAGCTAATAAGAGACCTAGACAGGATGTGAACCCAGCTAGACTGACTCCAGAGGCTAAGACATTAGCAACTAAACTATGCTGACTAATGGTTGTTTATTTTTATGTCACCAAAGTCCAAACAGGACAGAGTAAGATGAGGATGGACAAGCCACAGTGCAAATGCAGAAGGACCTAAATGTTGGAAATTAATCCAGATAGCAAATGATACCTAGGTCAAAGAGTCTTGGCAATCTCTGGTAAATATTTTTCCCAGAAGGTTTCAAACATAATTCAAGTTTATTTAAAAGTCTAAATCAGTTTCTTACAAACCAAAAAGGATTCCATCCTAATCAACTTGATACATATTAATATTAAATGATCATTTTAAGTTATTCTATCTTACTGGAAGAGTTTTAAATCAGTATTCTGAGATGATATACTTCAGTTGCCATAGAATTCCCTTTTGTCTTTTTTTTGTAATATAAAAGTATTCTTTCCTCCATCAACCAACATTTAAAATACATTTCTTTCATATTAGTGGAATTTTATGTGCCTGCTAAGTACCATGTGGAAATAATCAAGTCCCATTATGAACCCAAAGCCAATTCAGAACCAATTTCAAAGCAGTTTACCCACTTAGTATAAGCAGCTGTGCACTTTTACATTTACAGTTTCACATTTAAAATCCCTTTGTTTTAATTTTGAATCTACTTCTTTGATATAAGCTAATTACTTTGGCAGGATCTGGACCATCCTGGGGTTTATATCATAGGGACTCACTGCTCACTGCACCAGGTGGCCAGCTGTGTATGACATCAGAAGATGTCTGGGAGGAAGACTGAGCATCTCCTGAAAGTTAACTAGTTTGCTTTCTTTGCTTCTAGGACTTTCACGGACTTTTTCAGATCACTCAGGCTTGGGTTCAGGCATTATTTCAGTTACTTGGAGAATGAACGCAGGTTCTCCACTAGCCTTATTCTCTTTCAGGGCCTTGGCCAGGAGTATCTGGTTCCTTGGCCATGTTTGTTGAGATTGGGCCTTATGGCCACCTCCAACTCATTTTCTTCCCCAGTTCCTGACCCTGAGGTCAGGTCAAGGGAATGCAGATCCCCGGCAAAGGAGACACCGATGGAGGCAAATCAGAAACTCTCTCTAAGGCATTGAGGGCCTGAGTGATGACTCTGAAAAGGTCTACAATCACCTGAGAAGTTGGGTATTTCTCAAAGAACAGATAGTAAGGATTTAAATGCAGCGTACCTCAGAGCAGATAAACTCCGACTCCCGCTTGAGAAAAGAACTCAATCATTTTATCTTGTTTTTGGAGCAACTAACTTGCCCACCTCACAGCAGGGAAAGGTTTGCTGGCCCCGGGCTCTGGCCTCTGGCCAGTCTTGCTAACTCACATGCCCTCTTCTTCATGTTAAAATTGAAGAGCACTGTCATGGCTTCACAAAGCTCTTTACGGGCATTGTCAGCGTGAACTTGCTTTCATTTTCCATAGTCACCAGCTCATGAGCCAGCTCGACAGCAGGTCCTGACAATGTTCTCTGTGACCTCACACCTCTGGACACCCACCCTAGGACTGTCTATTCCAGCCAGCTGTCCCTCCATGTTATCTGTACATATTCTGCCTCCACTCCAGGAACACCTCACGTTGTCCTGGTATTTTGGAAACTAGGTTTTATTGTGAAATTCAAAGATGCTACTAAGGGACAATAGAGAAAGAAATATTCCAAGTACTTCGAATTAGGACAGATGACTTTAAAAAAACAACATTTTGGCCAGGCGCAGTGGCTCACGCCTGTAATCCCAGCATTTTGGGAGGCTAAGGCGGGCAGATTGCCTGAGGTCAGGAGTTCGAGACCAGTCTGGCTAACATGGTGAAACCTGTCTCTATTAAAAATACAAAAAAAAAATTAGCCTGGTGTGGTGGCGTGTGCCTGTAATCCCGGCTACTCAGGAGGCTGAGGCAGGAGAATTGCTTGAACCTGGGAGGCAGACGTTGCAGTGAGCCGAGATCATGCCACTGCACTCCAGCTTGGGCAACAGAGTGAGACTCCAGATAAAAACAAAAAACCAGCATTTCCTGGTCAAAGAAAAAGTAGCTTATATTTTCTTCCATCATAAAAGCAATTCATGATCCCAGCCTTGGGAAGTGCCAGGGAAATAAGACTATGTACCAAGCACTGCACACATTCACCTATTCAGCCTTGAGAGTAGTGTGGTAAACAGGATAGAAAATGTCTCTGCTCTAGTGGATCTTAATTCAAATTAGGTAAACAGGCAGTAAATAACTAAATCAATAAGATAATTACAGATAGCAGGAAGTCATTTGAAGAAACATTACAACATTAAGGAATAGGGTGATGGGGTGGGATCTGCTAAGGGGCAGGTGGCTAGGTCTGCCTGTGAAGGCAGGATTTAAAAACAAACCTGAATGCTGAGAAGCAGAAAGTCATGCAAAGACCTGAAAGAAGAGCATTCTAAGCAGGAGGAAGGGGAGACATGAAGATCCTGAAGGAGGAATGGACTGCATCTGTTTGAAGAATAGAAGGAAGGCCAGCATATGTGCTAGAGGGCAGTGCCATGAGTTGGGGATGAGGACGAGAACTTGTGGGCAATGGTAATTCTCTCCACTCAGTCTCAGTGCAGTGGAGAGCCTTTGGAGGCTTTAAGCAGGGAGTAACATGATGCAATTCATGCTATAAAAGATCACTTGGTTGCAGTGTGGAAAACAGATTATATAAGGAGAAGAGTGGAACAATTAGACATTATTTCTGTACCTCAGGCAGGAGATGATGGTAACTTTGATGTGAGCATTGGAGGCAGAAGAGAGGAGAATGGATGCAGGATGCATTTTGGAGGGAGATCTGATGAAATTTGTGATGGATTAGATGTGGGTGATAAGAGAAAGCTATGGAAAGAATGAAATCAAGGATGAGCAAGTAGGTGAGTAATGGTAATATTTACTGAGATGAGGAAGACTCCATTTCTCCCAGCAGCCCTTTAAGTTGGGTTCACCTATCCCACCCTATTCCTGTATCTATTTTATTCTATATCTATACATCTAACCTTTATCTATATTGTTCCTATATATACTATAATGCAGAATGGAAAACCAAACCTTAGAACTATAGGGTAACTTGGCCAAGGACACAAAATTAGAATGCAGTGAGCAGGGATTTGAGCCTGTTCTGCCTGAGTCCAGGGTCTGTGTCATAATCACCACTTTGAGATTATCTTTTGCTTACCAGCCAACAACTACTATTGTGAACCTTTTTATTTCCTTTCAGCCATAAGACATATATTATATTTTAAAACATCTCTGACATATAGCGTATAAGTGCACTAGCTTTCTCATCAGCTATTATAATATAAGGGTATTGTTCAACACTTCATAATATTATCTTCTATGCAAATTATCATCCTGCAAATATTTCTTTACAAGAGAATAAAACTATGAGCATCAATGTATGGGGAAGAAACTGGTAAATGGCCTAATAATATTTACATAAGGGAGAAAAATAAAAAAAAGTTTATCTGATTCAGTATTTCTCTAAAGTTTTCATTTGAGAATTTATATATGAAACATCTATGCTTTTAATATAAAGCATCTTGTTGCATATTATTATATTTATTAGTAACTATTTTTAAAAGCGACTAGTTTTACTCTTTAAAGTTATCTTCAAGCCTTCAATACCTTCTAAAAAATATATTCTAGTCACAGTGCTGAGTTGGTGAGTAGCTCACCTGTTTATCAGTATGGAGCTCGGCGTGACAGTGCACACTCTGCCTCATTGCTTTATCCTGACTCCCTTGGTTTCAAGTAACGGATGCCCAATTTGGCTAGTTCAAGTGATGATAATAACACTATTAATATTGTCTTGGACTGGGTTACCTGGAAAGTAGAGATTGAAGTGAACAGGGATTTTAAAATCTGAGTTGTATATGACAGGTGCAAACCTAGGGGAGCCAGAATGAGTAAGAAGGGAAACTACGCAAAGACAGATGGGAAATCAGTGGGATGGGAAACATTACCACCTTGGCTCCTGCTTCCAGAATGGCCAAGTCATTCAGCCGGTCTACCAGGAACTTCTCCAGAGAGGTCAAAGGGAGAAACTGTACCTTGCAGCAGTCCAGGGATGCAGGGAGGGGACTATATCTACCTGATTCCCTCTTATCCCTTTCCCATTGATCAGAGTTTGCTCCATGGGGGGTTCAACTCCCTGTCACTTCTAGCTTGCATCACAAGGCAGCTTCAGTGGCTGCTCAGGGTGTTTTGCCCAGCTACCTGGGTTGGCCAAGGGTGAGGATCCTGCATTTCCAGAAATGTGGGCTGTCTAGGAGGTGAGAGGTAGAGATAATTTAAAGAGATGCATGAGATTTGTTTCTGATATATCGGAATGGTGTTGGGCTGAGCAGTGTGCTTGAATTATCTTATTGAAACCTCATAAAAACCCTATGAGGTATGAAGTACCTATTAGTAGCCTCAATTTACAGATAGGAAAACTTAAATAAGTGATAGAGTGAGAGTCTTACTTACATAGGCAGTTGGATCCTAGAGCTCACAACTTAATCACTATATGTTCGTTTTAAAAAGCCATGGAAGAGTACAAAGGAGATTATTAAATGAATGAAAATCCAGGGAAATACACAGTGGGCTCTTCTGAGAAAAAGCGTTGGGAACTGAACTGCCACTGGGAGCCAGTCCTCCTAGAGGTCGCAGGGTCTCATCCTTCAGGCATATCTGCTTCTTTGTATGATTCTTGGCCTTTTCCTTACCCTATGCATCAGCCTCCTCTGACCCTCCCCTACCTTTGACTACTGCACAATGATAACCTTCCCACACTTTATGTGGCTTCTCTGACCCTGATTCTACTCATCATATCTTCTCACACTCTACCCTTGTGCTACGCTGTCTGTGTCCTGTTTTTCCACTTCCACATTTCTCAGGGAAGCATTGGCCCAACAGGGCAGTTAGGGTGTTTTGGTTGCAAACAATAGAAAATAAGTCTATTATATTCTATTACAAGTGAATTCATTAAAAACTCAGATTACCAGAACCTGTTTGGAATTTATGGGACCTAAGAATTTCCACTAAGTCTTAGAAGCAAGACCTGATGGATGCCCCATGTATGTTATGAGCCCTGGAATGTCCTTTTTCCTTTCTGCCTTGGCATAACATGGCCTAAAGTTCAAGCCCTGGAAAAGTGTGTCTGATTGGCCAAGTATAAGTGATGTACCAGCCCTTAGTTATGCCAGGTAATAACAGAGAAATTAGTTGAAATTAGTTGAAGAAATTAGTTAAAATTAGTGAATCCAGTGATGCCTGGATTTACTTTCCCAACAAGATTGAACATAATCGGGGAGCTAATTACCTAGAAGGCTAATAGGATGCTAGAAGGAAGTGGGTGATAAATGTTGTGTAGACAAAATACGGAAACTGTGTTCCATTCCTCTTCATCTTTTAGTTTATCACAGCACATGACTCATCATTTGCTGATGAGACTATAAGTGGGCTGTTGTTTAAAGTTGTGGCCAGCCTTAATGCATTTCAAAGTAAAATAGAAATGACCTTCCAATTATCTGCTACTTTGAATTATTTATGATGCCACTTCCTTCTGTTTGCACATCCTACATCTGATCATGGAAAATGATTATCAGATAAAACTTTGGCATCTTCTTTCTTTATTTACAAACACTTCTTCAGCATTGGTCTTTTATTTACTACTGTGGCAGGTGTTGTGGGAGATAGGGGAGCACTGCATAAGATGTGATTATCGTTTTCTAGGTGCTTGGAACTGAACATAGGAAACAATAGAAAATAGTATGGATAAAAGAATATAAAACAGTACATAATTAAAGACAAAAATTTCATCTATGTGTATAGTGGAGGTTGAGTATAACTTATGTTAATGTGTGAGGAGCTAGGCGAAATGTGTAATTTAAATCTTGAAAGGATACAGTTGATCTGGGAAAGATAAATTTGTGGTGTGGTAGCTAGTTGATCTATGTCCAGACTATGTTCATCTAAATTACAATTTTTGCTATTCACTTGTTCCAAAAGGTAGGATAGAAGTTTATTTAGAGTCTATGTCTCTTCTTCAGTGTGCTGCTTATAAAGATTTTGTACCAGGGTCATTCTCCTTGGCCATCATCCTATGTAGCCTCACAGGAAGGTGTCACAGTTCTGCTATTTCTAAATGTCACAGGCCCAGCCCACCTGTCTACTGCCATCTTTCTACTGTGAATGTCATGAAACGCCTCTGGGAGCATAAATAACTTTATTACTAAGCTGTAAAGTAGAGCAAGTTATTAATATTGTATGAATTGCATTCAATTCACTTTTTACCTCTAATAGGGTGAGATCTCACTATATTCTGGAAAGTATATCCTTCAAACTGCTGAGTAGCATGTATTGAATTAACTGAATTAGGAAGCCCCATTGCTGCTGGAAATTTGGACTGCAAGCTTGTTTTAATAAGTTCAAGTTTACTTCTGAGATCATCATTTTCTTTAGGAATTCAATTCAATAAGGCTGCCTAACTCTGACAGTAAGTACGAGAAATTAGATTTTATTGTGAAGTATAAACAGGCCTGCAATTGATGATATAAGACTCTAAACATCATCAAGAGGCTTGTGGACTGCTTTGCTATGGGAAGTAATTGACACTGAAAGCTTTTGGAAACTGAAGTTTATAGCACTGGGCCCAAATCAATGATATTTTATTTTATTTTATTTGAGGTATTTGAATAGGGCATTAGTTGGCATGTTCTAATACCATGTGATGAAGCCCAAGTTTGGGCAAAGTATTAACCTCCTCTACAACAAACAGAAGTTAGACAAGGTTTTAAAATTACCACCAGATCTTTGAGGAACAGAGGAAGAAAGTGTTCTAGAGATACCACAAACTGAGCTTCATTTGATGTGGGTTTATTTCTCGTGGGCCACTAATAATCACATGTTAAATTTTCTCCTCCATATTTAAAGATTGAGAGTCCATCCTACCCTTTATTATAAGTTGATTAAAAAACAAGACTCTCTAAAAAACTCAAAATACTGGGTTCTAGTCCTGGATTTTCCACCAGGTCACAAGATTCTTAGCCTTTATGTGTCCAGTGACAAGAAACATGACTCGTAACCTCGGTTTGCACAATCTTCTCTCAGGAACTTCCCAGGGAATGTGCAATTTCTGGCTCACAAGCAGGGAATAAGCTGATTCATTCTTCTGCTCAAGAATGAATCTTGGAATGCAAATGAGCATGTTATAGGAATAATCAAAATGTGATCTAATTTCTGAAAAAAAGTAATAATTTTCAACTGTTACTCTTTTATTATGAGTAACAAACTACTTGTGACATATTTTCAAGCCATGGTGACCTACTGTGAACACCTGGCTGGGAACTGCCACATTTGCAGTCTGGCTGACCATGAATGAACCAGTTAATTCCTCTGTTCTTCACACTCCTTACATGTAGGCATCTTCCAGTTCTGAATTTCTACAAGTACTGTCACCCAGCAGTAACCAATCCACGTGGGGCTACTCTCTATATATTTGTATCATGAGAACATAAGAAATTGCCTTGCTTGTTAAGTCTTACAGTTCCTTTAACACCAAATTCTGAATTTGACAATGGCACAGGAATATGATTTGGAGTATGTAATTATTTTCACTGGCATTCAAATAAAGGTTTATGGCTACTCCCTTGAAAATATTCACATGTTCTTCAAGGTCCATGTTGGATCTGTCAACTATTAACACATAATGAATGCAATAATATTATGATACAAATATTAGTGTGATGTAAATACAAAATATATATCTGCAATCCTTTCCAGCCCTTGGGGCACTAGCCTGTAAGTTCCAGGAGAACCCGGACTGTCTGATTTGTTCACTGTTCCATCCTCAGAGCCTGGCACAGAAGAGATGTCCAGTAATATTACATCCAGTAATATTTTTGGGTCAATTAAAAGATTCCATAGTAATTCCTTAATATGTAAGGTAGAGGTTTTAAAATTATTATTACCCGGTCTTGTTTGTTTACACATGAAACAAACCCAGCTTTAAAGAACTCAAATAAAAAGGAAAAGATGCTGTTTGTGTGATTAATTCTAGAACAAAAGGTGTGTGCCTGGTCTTGGGAGCAACTCTCAGGGGTCCAAATCAGCAGGCTTTCTGTCTCCATCTCTCATACCTCATTTACCCCAGTGTCCTCCATAAGGTGACTCATAGTCACAGGTAGCATGTCAGTCACATTTCAGTTTCCCCATCAGAGAGGGGTTTCCTCCTTTCCTTAGTTTCAGTTTGACTCTGTTATTTTTACTCACTCTTAGCAGCAAAGGTTAGGAGACAGGGTAAAGTTCAGTAGAAGGCCTTTTGTCAAGGATTTGCTAGTTCATGTTTAAACATGGGTTAAAGAAGGTTAAAAGGGATATTTCTTAAACATTTTTATTATACCTTTAATTGATTTGCCAATCTTGTGATGTAAAGCCAGGATCTTTTTTTTAAATTATTAAACTGACACTGTTGTTTGGAGCTACAGCTTGTTCTTCTTGATAAAAACTGACCCATCCATGCATCATACTTTTCAACTGTGACTTCTTTAAAATGGAGCAAAGATTTAATGATACTTGCAATATATCTGAGTGAAGAATCCATCTGGATGTTTAAAAATTTCCCTTCAATTGTGTATAATGGTATTTCCCATAATTAATTTGTCAGGATATTTTTGTTTGTTTTGTGATTTCCTTTATCAAGTTTTCCCAAAGCTTTCAGAATACATTTCACAGAAATAAAACTTTCATTTTTGCTGTGCTCATTTTATGTTTGTTTAATATTTAATGAGATTACTTGCTTATCATAACTAGTAAAACTGTTATAAAGATGTGAGAACAAATGCAATAGACTTTTGATTACTATGCAACTCAAAAGGGGCAATTGAAGTATGCAGACATTCTGAGAGATGCTGCCTAGCCACAGTGCTCAGTGGGTCCTGGATACCTGCTGGTCTTTTTAGCAGGTGAATGAAAAGCATCTGTTGTTCTGGTGATTCACATCTAACAAAGGTAACACTGAGCAGTGTATGGGAGGGACAGATAGGCACACATACAGACACACAATGCATAATGGGGTGGTTTGCAATAAAGATATGTACTGTGAGAGAAAAGCAATTCTGCCCAAGGGTAGGATGTAAGTTGGAGCTACTTCTTTAAGAACAGCAAAGAAAAGAAAGAAAACAGCAAATACCAAAGCAGGGATGTATAAAAGAATATTACAGAGCTTGTCAGAGAGCCAAATCATGAAAGAACTCTCATTCACAATTGCTACAAAAAGAATAAAATACCTAGGAATACAGCTAACAAGGAAAGTGAAGGACCTCTTCAAGGAGGACTACAAACCACTGCTCAAGGAAATCATAGATGACACAAACAAACGGAAAAGCATTCCATGCTCATGAACAGGAAGTATCAATATCATGAAAATGTCCATACTGCCCAAAGTAATGTGTAGATTCAATGCTATTCCCATTAAACTACCCATTGACATTCTTGACAGAATTAGAAAAAACTATTTTTAAATTCACATGGAACCATAAAAAAGCCTGAATATCCAGGACAATCCTAAGCAAAAAGAACAAAGCTGGAGGGATCACACTACCCAACTTCAAACTATACTACCAGGCTACAGTAACCAAAACAGCATGGTACTGGTACAAAAACTGACATATAGACCAATGGAACAGAATAGAGAACTCAGAAATGAGACCAGAGGCCTACAATCATATGATCTTCGACAAAGCTGACAAAAACAAGCAATGAGGAAATGATTACCTTTTTAATAAATGGTGCAGGATAGATAACTGGCTAGCCATATGCAGAAAATTCAAACTGGACCCCTTCCTTACACTTTAGACAAAAATTAACTCAAGATGGATTAAAGACTTAAATGTAAAACCCAAAACTATAAAAACCTAGAAGAAAATCTAGGCAATACCATTCAGGACCTAGGCACAGGCAAAGATTTCATGACAAAAATGCCAAAAGCAATTGCAACAAAAGCAAAAATTGACAAAGGGGATCTAATTAAACTAAAGAGCTTCCACACAGCAAAATAAACTATCAGAGTGAACAGACAACCTACAGAATGGGAGAAAATTTTTGCTATCTATCCATCTGAAAAAGGTCTACTATCTAGAGTCTACAAGGAACTTAACAAATTTACAAGAAAAAAAAACATTAAAAAGTTAACAAAGGACATGAACATACATTTCTCAAAAGAAAACATTCATGTGGCCAAAAAACATATGAAAAAAAGCTCAACGTCACTGGTCATTAGAGAAATGTAAATCAAAACCACAATGAGATATCATCTAGTGCCAGTCAGAATGGCTCTCATTAAAATGTCAAGAAACAACAGACTCTGGTGAAGTTGCAGAGAAAAAGGAATGCTTTGACACTGCCGGTGGGAATGTAAATTAGTTCAACCATTGTGAAAATAGTGTGGTGATTCCTCAAAGACCTAGAGGCAGAAATATCATTTGACCCAGCAATCTCATTACTGGGTATATACCCAAGGAAATATAAATCATTCTATATTCTATAAATCATGCGCTTGTATGTTCACTGCAGCACTATTCACAATACCAAAGACATGGAGTTAATCCAAATGTCCATCACTGATAGACTGGATAAAGAAAATGTGGTACATATACACCATGGATTGCTAGGCAGCCATAAAAAGGAACGAGGTCATGTCCTTTGCAGGGGCATGGATGGAGGTGGAAGCTGTTATCCTTAGCAAACTAACACAGGAACAGAAAACCAAACACTGCATGTTCTTACTTATAAATAGGCACTGAACAATAAGAACAATGGACACAGGGTGGGGAACAACACACATTGGTGCCTGTGTGGTGGGAGGGGGGACAGGAGAGCATCAAGAAGAATAGCTAAGGGATGTTGGGCTTAATACCTAGGTGATGGGCTGATCTGTGCAGCAAACCACCATGGCACACATTTACCTATGTAACGAACCTGCACATCCTGCACATGTACCCTGGAACTTAAAAGTTGAAGAAAAGAAATATTACAGAGCTTGTGACGACTTACAGTCGGGGGTCCTAGATTATTAAAAACTGAGGAAATGTCAAAAAAAATTCATAAAAATTGTGTTATATTTTGAGTTGCCACATTTAACAAATATAAACCACTAGCACACACACATAAAAATGCTGTCCCTAAAGAAGATATCCAGGCAGTATGGGCCACCAATAGTGCATGTTTAAGACTGTGTGATGAATAGCTGAATGATGACATACCCTGTCAGTGTGTTTATGTGACTCTCTATATAATATCATTTGGAGATAATGCCAAAAGCATAACTTTGAAGTGGCAATAAATGCTAAACCATAGCAAAATGGCTGTTTGCTACACACACCTCCCTGCTCATGTACACCTGGAGCAGGTGACTGCAAACTGAACGTGGTAGGCAATGGATAACATGTAGGGTAGATTTTAAAGAACTACCAGAACTAAGCAATAATGGGAGGTGAGACAAATCATGAAGAACTTTGCAGCTATGCTCAGAAATTTGGAATAAAGGCAAAAGAGATCTCAAGAGTTCCCTTCTCTGAAAAAAAGATAGTGACAATGACAAGCCAATACTTGCATTTTCCCATTCTTTATGTCACTTTCTTAAAAGACTGTGATCTTCTGCTAAAAATATCGAGTGGACTCAGAATTAAATACCAAATCATCGTGTACCCATCGAACAAGATGACAAAAACATTGAAAAATAGCCTTAGTTGAGTAACTTGGGATGTGGAATGATCTGGCTTAAAGATGGAATTTTGGCTTATGTTGAATATGAAAAATGTTCAAGAAAATGCTCAGCACAGGAGGGTTGCACAAATTCTGATGTAGATAAAGCATCTTAGGATCCCACAGGTTCTGCTGTTCTTCTACAGGCTTCCACCATCATCACTCACTCTGACATAATCTACAAGGGATTTGGCTGGCGATGTCTCTCCCTCCTCTGGTGCCATATCTTTACCCTAGCAGGTATGGTTCCTGGTGATAGATGTCATAAACATGCACAGACAGCGTGAACATAAAAAGGTTGTGGTGTCTTAAAGAAAAAAAACAGCAGGGAGAGTGATGCTAGCTGTCAACGAATGTGATGATAAAGCCTATTTTTTTATACTTGTTAATAACTTGAAGCTTTTTAAAGAAAAAAGGAGTATGCATTTGGAAACATTATGAGGAAGAATAACCTTTAATTGAAGGAAGTATATCTGACAGTAAGTCATGGATGAATTTTTAAGAGGAAAGAATACTACTATAATGATTTCCATAAACTGGAAAAAATCATGAGGCAGTTGACAGGTTTTCAAGCATTAAAACTTTCCTTTTAGCCTTGAGTCATAGAGTTTGATTCTTTCAGGCTTGACCAGGCACTGACAGGGCTAACATGTTGACTCTCAATGCAACTGATTGAATAGATTAAGAAAGATTTTAAGCTATATCTGACATTTCTAGAAGTCATGCAAATATAAAACTGTTTAAAATTTTGATGTTCACTTATCTCGACTAATTTTATTTTTCACATGGAATTAAAAGATCTTATTTAAATGATAAAATGATGGAAATTTACAATTCCATTGTTGATCAATAATATAACAGAATTTTAAAAAGCCAATTTGAAATAGTAGATAGGGTACAGGTAGTGAAATGAGAAGGTTAAACTCTGAAGTCTTTGCAATAATGATTAGACTCAGACACCTGCAAGGGCCCTGAAATGGTAATTTGTTGGGCTTTGTTTAAGAAATGCAGTTGTGAACTGCAGTTTAGGTGACCTGTCACCATTAGGACTTGCCTGTTTTGACCTTAGAGTTTCTAGCTCTGCTCAGTTCTCAAAGGAAGAATCCATCTATTCTGTTTATTAGACTCATGAATGAATCCAAACCAGCATAAATGGCAATTGCATATCGTGGTATAGAAGTTTCCCCTTCGGTTGGAAGCAGTGGATCACACTTGTAATCCCAGCAATTTGGGAGACTGAGGAGGGTGGATTACTTGAGGCCAGGAGTTTGAGACCAGCCTGGGCAACACGGTGAAACTGTCTCTACCAAAAAAAAAAAAAAAAAGTTTCTTCTTCATTTCTGCCTTTCATAAGTTATTGATTTGATTGAGATAATTAAACTATAATTGTATTATGTGTTGCTACTGCCATTTACCCACACTAGTTTTACATATATTAATCTATTTTTAGGTGAAGGTGGTGGTTCACCAAGGGCAGCATATTTTATTATGACTCACAATAAGAAATGTATTGTATGTCAACTTAATATATATAAATATAAATTTATAATATCAACACATATTAATAAAAATTCTCTATTATGTAAGAATTTTATATACAAAATATTTATATATCTATATAATATTTACATAGAAATTACATAATTATATATATGAATGAAAGTCTCACAAAACAAGCCTTATTCTTACCACTAGTGATGCCCACTGACAGGACCCCATAGGGTGTGTAGCACTCCCAAATCAGTGTCTCAACACTATTCTGGCAGCCCAATCTCATACAATTCTGCAAAAGAAATCCTGTGCCAGCCGGCAAGAGTAATTCCCTCACCAGGCCACCTCCTGGAACCAGGGTCCAGCCACAGGGCCCCAGGATGACCCCACTGGCCAGAGTTTCAACTATTTGGGGGCATCTGGTTGACCCTACATGAGGGCGAACGGTTGTAGAGTGGGGCATTCCAAAAAGGAGGAATAGGAAATGGGACCTATGGGAGTCTCTGACCAGCACTGCTGGCCCCATCTAGTACTACGCACTGTGAGGAAGCCACTGCAGTGAGTGGTGGGAAAAGATGCTAAGATTACCGCCCTCTGATCTATTTTACTCTATGCTATTATATTTCACAATTTTAAAATGTCTTGTGACCCTCTAGACTGACAATTTCCTATCATTGTACGTCTTTCTGTCTTTCCATTCAGTGTCCTGGGAGAGAGAATTTGATCAACCGAGTTTGAATAAAGTGTCTATGTCTGCACTAATCAGCAGTGTACAAGAGGAAAGGAGAGTGCGATCCTGAGGTCCAGGTATGGCCATTTTCCATCCCAAAACTCCTGCATGAAAGAGATGCATTTCAGCAGTGGGTATCCTGCAAGCCAAGCAGCCACCCTAGATGGCATTTAATAGAGAGACAAATAGCCTGAGGATTTGGGGCCCCAGGCCTAAACTTCTCAAGGGCTGTAGTCCAAGGGATGTTGACAAGTAAGAAATATTACATGATTTTATGGAAGGAGAGTCCAACAAATGAAAGGATGAGTGATTTACTCAGAGTCACGTGGGGAAGAGACAAGGCTAGATCCATGTCTCTTATTCCCAGTCCATGACACCTTGTTACTTATTCAATGCAATGGACTCAGAAATCTATTGGCATTAAAACTACTTCAAAAAAAGCACACACACATAATCCTAGTTAGTAAGATGCTCTTCAGAAAGCTGTGTCACTGCTACATATCTTATGTAGTATTATAAGGGCTTGTTTGATCATTTGCCCTGGTACTCATAAAGGTCCAGCAATCTGTGATTTCCTGTGACACATCTTTTTCCTTTTTTATTAGATTGGAAAAGCATTTTCCTTCTTTCATCTTCAGAAGTTTCTTTATGTCCTTTATAATTCCTCAAAATGATTGAATAGTGGCTCTGTAGTGACAGCAGTAAAGCAATTTGTGATCTTTCAAAAAGATGCAGTGCAAGTAAAAATTATTACTCTGTGTTAACAAAGTAACATATGACACCTAATATATTTTACTCTGATCCTCATGTCCATAACTGGCTTTTCCAGAATTATGACTATGAAAGTATATCTTTAAAATGTGAAACAGACATTGGTCAAACTGGAAAAAAAGATTTGTATACTTTTTTTTTCTTTTTAAGAGTCAGTGGGGTTATAGCCATAGGCATTTGCAGAAGCATTAACTGCTACTGTGTGAGGACATTTGCAGCCCCAAGTTAAGCTTTCTATTTTTCTTTCTGGGTCTCTTTCAGAGCCCTGGTAAAAAGATTTTTTAGTATATATCCAAAAACCCAAGACAAGGGCCCTCACTTGATCTGAATTTATGATGGCCACATTACACTTGCTGACTACCCCATGATATCTCTGCAATGAAGAGTAATGCTTTACAAGTATCGCTGTGTGTGTGTGTGTGTGTGTGTGTGTGTGTGTGTGTTTCAGAACAAATGTTTTAATTCAGGATTTAGGTGACTGCTCCTTTTAGAAAAAGAAGGTGCCAGTAGAAACTGAAATACAAGGAACTCAGCTAGTGGTCAGGAAGGAGCTTAGCTGGAGGTGGCGACTGTTTCGTCAGAAGTTAGTATCTGGTTGTCATTGTCATAGAGAGATCTCTGGTTTCTTCTTCAAAAGTCTTAACACAGTCTTATTTTAACACTCCTCTGACATTTATCCCTAGCACCTTGTTCTCCATAGAAAGGGTTTCAAATGATTCAATATTTTCTAAACCTTAACTGGATTTAATTCTCCCCTTGGTGACTGAAAAGATAGCAACCTATGCACTATGCAACTGTTAACCTTCCCCCACTCAACAAAATCTCTTCCCTTAGTTTTTGAGGAATGAACTTGAGCTGCTTCCTAAAATTATCACTCAGTACTAGGAACTGAGACATTGAGAATACTGAGCAAGAATTTTCTACCAAGGTAAGGACCAAACAAACTCAAAAAACATTCCAGGATGAAAGGAAGTGAGTTCTCTATTTGTCCCTAAGTCATTCTCTGCTCATGGAGCTACTCTCCCTTCCAAGGATCCTGCTGTCCCTTTGAAGGCCTCACTTATTTTAACCTAACAGTGGATTATAGGGCTGTTCTGTTATTCTGCTAGTTCTCTCTGCAGCTTTCTTTTTCACATTGAAATTGAGCATCGAACAAGATAAACCTGCACAGGGAGGAATTCAGAGTGCTTAGCTGAAGTTGGTAGTAGTAGAGCACAGATGTCTGTGGGTGTCCAGACAAATTATTGGTCCCAACTCACGAAAAATATTCTACTAGATCCAGGAGTAAAGTTATTACTTTCTGAGAAGAGTTTCCTGTAGGGAACAAGCCATGAGGGGTTGGTTTTTCACTGACAAATATCAGATGGTTCCCCAGGGTGGGGCAGGAATGTTTCCCTTAGGAAGCTATTACTTCCAGGATGAGCTATAAACAAACCATTCTCTGTATTTGGTCTAATTAAACTATGCACATTTTGGGGGGTAGGTATAAAACAGAGATGCTGACATGCCAGCATTTATGCTGCTGACACAAATGTTCTGAGTATAGTTGATGTAAGCGGTGCTGACATAAACCTTCTCCTTGAGAACAGCTGCTAGAGGTGCTTTGTATTTCCACTATCTTCCAGTGGATTAACTTTAAGCATTGTCTGGGCTAAGAGTTGAAGCATCTTCTACTGAGATTTAATTCCCTAATATGAAAAATTAACCTACCGATTTCTCAATTACTTACTTCTTTCATGTTAATAACTATTTAAATTAAAGCATGTTTTCTTTTAAAGTTCAGAATTAGATGAAGAATGCAGTACTGATTGTTTTTGTACTAGAGGCTTAGTTTGCAGAGCTCCTAGGATGACTAAAGTTCACTTAGTTTGGAGTGAAAAATGGAGGCATGACTATTATTGCATAAAATAAGTCATTTTATTTTTTTTATTTACATGAAACACAGATTTCATGTTAATGTGACTTGTCAACTACCTAGTTAACTGACAATTAGCTGCCACTGCTGATAATTTTGTAGATTAATGAGATGAAAGGTATAAATGTTCTTCAAGGAGAATTGCACACATACTCAATACACACATATTTAAAGGGTTTGGGACATTCTAAAGTCACCTCTGAACCAGATCAATAACCTCCTTCATTGATTCCATTATGTGATCAAAGATGGCATTTGCCACCTACATTTGGTGGTAGATTATCCCCAGTAAGTCTTTTAGAAGATGACATCTTCACCCCCAGTGTCTTTCTTTAGTACTGATAATCAAGGATTTTGTGAATTAGCAGGATTTACTGGCTGTTGAGTGCATATCAGTTCAAGTCCTCCAAGAAGCTGATGCCAAGACAGGACTAGATACACAAGAAATTTATGGGGAGGAAACTCCTGTGAAGGGTAAAGGAGGAGGGAGCAGGAAGTGGCAGGTGAGCCTTCAGACCTGGAAGCATTAGAAGTCCCACATCAGTCAAGATGGCCTGATGGCCTGCCTCTGGCAACCCCACCTGCTCCATCTCTACCTGGAGAACCCTGGAGGAAACATTGCGTGGGCATGAGTGCCATGGTGGACTCGAAGGAGCAGCAATTGGAGCTGTCAGTCAACTGTGCTCCCCATGCAGAGTCTCTTGAAAGGAGGTCCAAGGAGTGGTTTCCATGGCTACCAGAGGAGAAAAGAGGGTCCTTGTAGGTGCAAACGTGCAAGTTCCTCTCTTCTTTTCTAACCCCACTTAAATTTTGACAGTTGCTCCTCTTTGGCCATTATGGCTTGGCCAGCCAAAATGTCACATATGGACAGGTAATATGATATCTTCTGCCTTAGTTTTTTTTTTCTTTCTCAATACAATATTTATAGGCATCGTAATTGTTCAATAAGGGGATGGGGTGGAGTTAACATCCACAGATATTGAATAGATCAGCTTTATAACACAACCTTTACCTTTTGCCCTGGGCCAATGAACATCATCATCATCATCAAAACAATAAGATATTAATATTTCAGTGTGGAGCCCATACTACTCATCAAAATGCCACAGAAGCCATGCTAGTATTGAGTGCCTCTTCCAGCTTGTGGTCTCCGTAGGATTAAGTCCTAAGATGGATGTCCAGTTTTCATTTTCCTCCTGTTCCAACCAAGACCAAGAGGGCTATGGGATCTTTCTCTCATGTCCACTGCATGGGGAGAGAATGAACAAAAGACAATGGAGGATTCTTTTCACTAAACAGTGGAACAGGAGATGGGCTACTCTCCCTTGGGTTGTGTTCTCTGGGGGAGTGAGATGCAGTAGAAGTGCACTGGGTGGGAGAACAAAGAGGTCTGAGAGAGTAAAGGGGCAGGGACAGGACGGGGCACTAAAGAGAGCTACCCTGTGGTAGTAAAGTGAAATGCTCCCAGGACTTAAGAGGTTTTAGATAATTTATTGATTCATGCAACAAATAATTATGGGGCAGTTGGTATGTACCAGATAGAGTTCCAGGTGCTTGGGATATATCATTGAACAAAACAAACATTCTTGCCTTCCTGTAGCTTATATTCTAGCAGGGAGATGCTAACATGTAAACAAGTAATAAACAAAATACATACGTAAATTATGTCTAAATAAATATATTACATATAAACTACAGCTTTTCTTAAAATTGGTTTTCAGCAGGAATTGCCTCATCTGCGATTACTAGAAGCAGAAGTCTCTTTCCTCAAGTTTCTTAGCTCTTTCAAACTTCTTTCACCTGGGACTCCTGTTTCTTCCCCTGGGAGAGAAACACTTCTTTTGCAGAAATCTATCTAGTATAGTTTCTAAAAAGCCACTGACAGAGTGAGATGTATTATGTAATTAATATCTTTGATCTCTGAAAAGCCTGCTTTTTAACTGGATTTTAATAAACTTCCTAAAACCGGTTCAGAAAATGTATTTAAAATATAATTGGCTAACACACACAGGTCTTCAATTTGAAATTCAATAGAATAAACCTGCCCAGAGCTGGGCATGGCACTGGATAAAGAGAGCCACAAGCTTCACTGATTATGATCTAAAGTCCAGAACTCCTCAGTAATAAATAGGGGATGAGACAATAAAAAGTACCCAACTGCGAGGAAGGCAGACATTTCAATTCTCCCTTTGCTACATTAAACAATACAGCCTGCAATCTACAGTGACAGGAGGAGAAAGCCAAGTAAGAAATGATGGCTTCAAGTATGTAGGGCTCACAATTAAACCCTGACCCCAGCCCTACAGCAGCTGGACATATGCAATTCCAACTAGATTTAATGGTAGTGCCTCCTCCCCGCACCCCAAGAACTCTTTAAGGTCTTCTGGGTTTATCTTATTAGGATAAAACCCCCTAAATTAGTTGATTCATAATGCGATTTAAATGATATACTTTCAAAGAGAGGATAAATGAATCATCGAGCTATTTCTCCATCCCAACCCCAGGCTTATACAGAGATTCTATTTTTAATGTCTTAAATTTAAAAAGCAAAAATTATCTTAGTAGCTGTGGGCAGTTGAAACTTTAATGAAATTTGATTAAGCCAACATTCAATTAGAAGACAATGTAGGTCACAACTAGAAATGATTTATAGGATGTATAGCAAGATCCCTCAGCCCTGTTAAGATTAATATTTTTGAGAGCAGGCTGCACTCACTCTCCTCACCTCCTCTCCCCGCTGGCTCCATCTGCATTCTGCTGCCATTGTTCTAGTGAAGCTGCCCTCTCTGAGGCTACAGTGGCAATGGCTCCATCAGTCCTTCTCTGGCTCAGACTCAACATTCTTCACTTTTGGTCTCCTTTCTTGGTTCCCATGGCACTGCCTTTTCTTGGATCACTTCACCTGCTCTCTCAACAGATTCCTTTCACTTCCTTCTCTTCTTTTCCCCATTTCTTAGAGACAAAACCCCAAATACAGTTATTGGTTCTTTTCCCTTCAATATTATCCACTTCATAGTTTCTATGATTATGCTGTAAGCCCTGAACTTAGTTTCAGTTCTGAATACACAACAATCTTCTAAAATCCCCCTTCATGTTAAGTTCAAAAGTCTGAACAGAAATTAACTTCCTTTCCCTTTCCCTCTTCTTCCTATGTTTACAATATCCTCTAGGATCTCTCAGTCTTATTGGCCAGAAAACATGGTCAGAATCATCTTCAAGTTTTTCTCCTCTCTCAGTCCCTACATTTAATTACACATCCAATCTACTATTCTATTTTAATAATTTTGAATTTCTATTCCCAGTCCCACCTTCTATATATAATATAGGCTCATATGTATGAGACGTTCTGTCTGGATTATTACAACAGCCTTTTGACTGTAATTCCTCTCTCTCCTTTTCTTTAAGAAGTATTGTTCTATTTCATATTATGTGCCAAGGTTGTGCTAGGAGCTTGGAGTATGAAAGGAATTAGACCACCTTTCTTTGAGAGCTCACAGTGTAGTGGGAAAGACGGATGTGAATAATATTCACCTCTGTATACTATGATGAGCATTATACATATGAACACAGTCCGAGGTGGCCCAGAGAGTGAGGCGGTTAATTCTGCCTACAGGAGGTAGACAGGGAGTCAACAAGGGCTTAAGTAGAGAAGGTGACTTTGAGGCTAGGTTTAGGGATGCATAGGATTTCACCAGAGGGGGACAGTCGTGGGGAAGGACATTCTTATTCAAGAGGACATTGCGTCCCACAGACATTAAGGAGCATGGTGTGTTTAGTAGCCTGGTGACCACTGAACACAGACCATGAGGTGGGCAGTGGGTGGACCTGAGGCTAGAAGGTGGATTGAGCCAGATCGTGACGTGCTTCCAATGAGGGATGTGGGTTTTGTTCTATAGATAGTTTAGAACCAACAGTTTCACTTCCCACATCTAACTAAATGCCAAGGTCCGAGTGGACTCAACAAACTAATGCTCAAATCTAATCTATTTTCTCCAACTCCATTGACCTTGCCTTATTTCTGGCTTTATTTTTGGAGGCTCCTAGTTAAATTTCCCTTAATAGAATGAGGACATCTCTATCTCATCCTAGCCATCAAATTAATGATATTTTCCCTCTCTTATAGAAAACAAATGGACTTGGTAATGTAAGGCAGTAACAGGATCTGTCTACAAATTTCCTAGAAGACAATCTATACATAAAGTTATATATGTTGCATTTAATTTTCACTAAAATCCTGTGATAAACCTCCCTATCCAGAAATTTTGCTTGCTCATTTTAATCTGGCTACTAGAGAATGGAGAGGCATTTCCACCTGGGTCCAGCCTTAAATGACAATATGAGTGGTCAATCATTTCTGCCACCCTTGTTGCCCCAAGGGAGGTAATAAAAGTAGTTAGAACACCTGTCACTGAACTTGGATGTGCATGGTGAGCAAAGCCCTCCATATCTTCCTATTCAGGAGGAGTTGCCACATCTCCTCAGTGGCTCCTAGGCTGCTTAAGCTTTTGATATACCCTATGTAGACAAAAGGGTACAAAAGCAAGGTTGCTAACATCTAACTGTTGCCTTGAGTAAAAAACAAAAGGAATTACAGAACAAACGTTTGGCTAATTTCAAAGTGTCCCTTAGTGCTTGAAAACTTTGTCTTATTATTTTTTATACAGAATCAAAGTAGGCCTATCTTAGAAAAGGGAACATCCTTAATGTTGGAGAGGTTTTAAAATAGGCTCTCACTATTTCCAACCCAGATTATTGTGCTGACAAACTGATGTTTTCCCCACTTCCTGTCTTTCTTCTCCAGTTATTTCACATTCTACTTTCTGATTTTGCTGTCCAAAATGCATATTGGCCACCTTTATGTTTAAACACTCCAGTTTACTTCCTCTTGTTTCATAAAGTCCAAAATTGCTGGATATGGCCTACCTCCCTCTCCATCCTCATTGCCTATCTTTACCCAACAACAGCACACGAAATTTCTAGGAATAACCCCCAAATATGTGGGAACTGCATGATTTGTGCCTCTATCAAATATTCATTTTTCTCTCTCTTTTTCTTTTTTCATAAAGACAGGGTCTCACCCTCTAGCCCAGACTGGTCTCGAATGCCTCTTGATACAGTGCTTGTGGAGCCCATGGATTGATTTCTGAAGGTCCTCGAACTTCCTGAAATGAATGCTCATTTTGAGTAAGGTATACATTACAGCATTTTTTAGGGGTATAAGCTCCATATATTTTATAAGATTTTCCAGTAGGTCTTTAAACTCTAAAAGGTTAAGAAACACCATAAATCTGTTGAGAACTAGGACACAGATGACCAAATTTGACAGAACAATATACAAAGTAAGAATGGATGACAGTGTTGTAGAGTCTCATCGTCAAGTATGGAATCTCATTTATAAAATGTAAAAACTGAGGCCCAGAGAATTTTAATGATTCGCCTGAGTTCATTTACAAACTAAACTACACAATTTAGATTTAACTGTGCAATGTCTTTTCCATTGTTTGCTTTTTCATGTATTTATTGTTTTATTCAATTATTATAGAGTGGAACATACTTGAAAGTGGCAACTATGCCTTGAAATGATGATTATGATGGTGATGGCAATGATGATAAAGATGATTTTAGAGGAAATTATGAATAAGAAACATGTCTAAGACCAAGAAATATACAATTATGTACTGCTAATTCTTACATATTTAGAGTACTCAATTTGCCTCTTAAAAATCCTGGATAATGAGAATTTATTGACTTAAGTCAACTGCATCCAACAAGTCAGGCAATTTCCAAATAATTGTGTGATTTTTAAAAATGAAATTCTCTTGAAATGTTGGATCCACTAATTTGCAGATCTGAGAACATGTTTTTCATATGGTACCCAATTGATTTATGTGAATTGCTTAAGGAAAGAAGTTGAAATTTACCTGAAATATCTTTTGTTAGACTATGCGAAGCAGAGGAACTTGCTTTACATTTTTGTTTAACCTTCACTAGGTAGTTCAAATCTCATTGTCGATTTTACTGATTTTTATAAGGTTATAGAAATGCTATTATTTTGTCAGAGAACTAAAGTGCCCTCTACTGTTTCTTCTCTGTTATTACAGCCAACTTTCTGTTAAGATACTTGATTTAACAGAAAAGTCGTCCTTACAGAAATAACCAGCAATAAATTCATTTCTGATAAAGATTCTAATTATAAAAAAGAAAATTATTATTGACTAAGCATTTTGAAGCATTTACATGTTTTATAAATTGACCAGTAAATAAAATCCTACATATTTGCCTTAATCATATTTTTGTCACTTTAATCTTAAAAATTCAAATTCCACTTTATAAAAAACATTTCTACTTTTTGGCATTTGTTTCAATTCATTTTACACAGCCAGAATTTTTTCACTATGTTGACTAGTATCTTTTTTAAAAAGATGACCAAAATAGATATATTTTTAATTTAAATATTCAGAAGCATAAGAAAATTAAGAAGGGCCAATCACTATTTTCTGAATGTAATTAATGAAATTTATTACTGAGAAAAAAATCCTCTAGATGTCATGTTATTAACTTAAAAATAGAATCATCTTACAAATTTACATATTTGCTTGTTGTAAACTTCAATTTTGACTAATAATTATGCACGTCACTTCCCTTCACTAAAGTAATCCAAGTTAGCTCTGAGTCATTTCAACCACTATTACTAACAGCATCATTAAAAAAAAAATGTCATTTCTTAGTCTTAAAATTTCAGTTATCTACATGCGTAGAGGCCTAGGATCTGTAGAGAACACTCTTTTACGAGTTCATAAATCTAATTATTTCAGAAATGTTTCACCCTTTCTCACTCTCTTTTTCATAGGACTTTTCCATCATTGGCAAGGTTTTAAAAATTTCCTAGTTTGTTGGTAGCTATTCAGTTCTTGCACAAAGACACAAATCTTGGCTGCTGGCCTTTTGGCATCTCCTAATTTTTTCATAGACCTCAATTGAACTTTCAGCCTGTTCATGGAACTTCAGAGGCTGACAATAGAAACAGCTCCTATTTGTCTTTTCACCCTTCACTTTTAATCCTTTCCATAAGCCACTTGAAAGTACAGTACTAGGTAGTTCAAGGATAGAGAGGGAGAAGACGAAAATCTATTTTCCCTCCATAATGCTTTCGGTATCCCATTTTCTTTTCATCCAAAGACAAGCAAATTAAGCAAATAAACATTAACACTGGTAATAATCCAGCTCATGTAACTAAGATTGATGTTGGGTGAGCCTCAGTCTTATAATACAGTCATTTGAGCCTCTTCTGTTATGCCAGAATTAATCTGTAGAAGGAGCCATAAAAGTTCATACAAAAAAGGGAAAAATGGCTTAGCAGTGTGAAGCAGAAGCAAGAGGTGCATGCTAGAAAGTTGGGAGCTCACACTTAAAAAAACTACAGAACTCAAAATTTGCCATGACGTGCAGGTCCTTCTTGGGCCTGTAAATTAGGCAGTTAACGCCTTATCTGAACCCTGGGAAGAATAACTTTCAGTTGCTTTTCCTCGCCCTAACTCTTCTACAAGGAAAGAAGCATAGCCTGTCTGCTTGGTGACTGCTTGGACCCTGCTTCACTAAGTTGAGCCTGTCTGGAACAGAGCTCAGACCTGCCTCCATGTAAATGTAAAGGCCAAAGGCCTTGGATGGCAGCAATTCTGGGTGACTAGGTAACTCTCCTTCAGGTAGGTTGCCCCAGGGATTGGGACACACTATTGTGGCTGATAATTTAAACTATAATCTTCACTCAAATCCTATTGGTAGTAAAAATGTTATGTTCACATCTGGAAGATGTTAGAGGGCCAATTTATTAGAGTGCCATTTGTTTCTGATGTATTTTTCCCCATGCTCTGAGGGCAGCTGCACTGTCAGCTATTGAGCTTGTAGGGCCAATAAGCTTCAGCAAATTCACACTGTAAATCCTCTTGACCAATGAGTTTTTATCCATGCTATACTGAGTGTATTCTGCAATGTAAGCTGTTTAATTTGCTGTTGCCTCTGTTTCTGACATTTATTTTGTGTTCTAGAAAACCTTTCAGATTTATAATGTCTGACAAAAACATATGGGAGTAGAAATGTGGAACCAATTACAAATAAGGGAAGCTTACTATGATGGCTATTAAGATCCAAGTTTTACATTGCCTTTAAAAAAGTGTTCACAGGAACACAGGATAAAAATAAATGACAATTTGGGATTGGTAGAAGTTCTTTAATATCCTGAGGATCACTATAAACTTCATGGAAGCCCAGGAAAACTGGCTGATAACCATATCAATAGTAGGTGGAAGAAACTATGGCTGGCTCCCTAGGATTTGAAGGAAGAGGAATACAAATGTTGGATGCCACAGGTAGCCCATTTCCTCAGGAGCAAGCTACTCCGTCTGAACCCTGGAATCAGACATTTCTCCTAGAAGCCTTGGTTCCTTTTAGTGAGGACCATGGTCTGGGTGTTAGGTTTGCTCATGGCTACTCTGGTCTTTGCTTCTTGGCTTTCTCAGTAAGGAGAGCTAGGCAATCTAGGCACATATGTATAAACAAACACATACACACATACGCATACACATGCACATCAATAAACAGACATGTGTAAATATACACGTGCATCTATCTGTGCACATAAATGTATGCATATTTGAGAAATTATGAGTTCATATCAAAACTGCAGTTCCAATCCACTCCCAAAGTATACATTCTTGCCTTCCATCATTCCATATTTATATGTCCCTTCTTCCACAGTGAGAACTTCCAACCACATCAACACATTTATTCATTTGTGCAACCCTTTGGTATACCTGAAGTAGGTTTGGAATTGCTTTGCCCATGTCATTACAGTAACAAATCTACCAAGATTTTGAGATTTGCTTGCAGTTCTTCCTCCCCTCCTACCCCAAGAATGAGGGGATATAGTTAGATACTGTATTTATAAGTTACTTTAGTTGGTCTTTCCTCCTTCCTTTACTTTCCTTTAGTATGGCTGTGGCGTTTATTTGAAATATAGTTAGGTTCATGTATTTTAGTTTGCTTTCAGTTTTAGAACTTCCTTCTGGCAGGGCACGGTGGCTTACACCTGTAATCCCAGCACTTTGGCAGGCCGAGGCGGGTGGATCACAAGGTCAGGAGATCAAGACCATCCTGGCTAACACGGTGAAACCCCGTCTCTACTAAAAATACAAAAAATTAGCCAGGCCTGGTGGCACGCACCTGTAGTCCCAGCTACTCGGGAGGCTAAGGCAGGAGAATTGCTTAAACCTGGGAGGTGGAGGTTGCAGTGAGCCGAGATCATGCCACTGCACTCCAGCCTGGGCAACAGAGCGAGACTCTGTCTCAAAAAAAAAAAAAAAAGAAGGAACTTCCTTCTTATTCATATTGATTTTATTTTTGGAATATGTAGAATATTAACATGCTTTCAAAAGTCAAACTGTACAAAAAAGGTATAATCAGAGATGTGTCACTTCTTTCTGTATTCCTTCTATCCAATTTCCCCAAACTCCTAAAGGCAACTAACTTGTTTTCTGATTTGTGCTTCCAGTGTTCCTTTCTGTAAAAATAGGCATTTATATAAATTTTAAAAATGTCCCTTCTTTTATACACAAAGTTAGCATACTATATATACATTTTTGCATTTTGCTTTTTTCCCCTTAATTAAGTCTCCCAGAAATCATTCCCTAACAGTAAATAGTGTTCCTCCTTATTCTGTCTTACAGCTGTATAGTACTCCATTTTCTGTATGTACCATAGTTTATTCAACCAATCTTCTATGCTCAACAATTATAAACAGTATTCTATGAATAACTTAATACCTATGTTTTTATAGTTTCATATTATTAAAGATATACATTTAAAATAAATTCATAGAGGGATTTCTGTGATGAGATTTGGGCATAGATAGTTGCTTATAGATGGCTAAATTCCTCTCCAGAGGAGTTGCACCTATCCATCAGCAAGTATGGCATTGCTGTTTCTCCACTGTCTCGTCAACAGAATGTGTTATCAAGCTTTTGAATTTTTGCCAACTTTTTCGGTGAAAAATGGAATTTCAATGTAGTTTTAATTTACATTTTTATGTGATTAAAATTACATATATTTTCATGTGATCAAGGGCTATTTTTATATCTTTTTGTTTCTTTCAATAGGATTTCTACAGGTCTTTTTCTATAGGATTTCTGTAGATCTTTTTTCCTTTTTTTTAGAAAGTTCTCAAATAAAGGAGTTAACCTTTTATCTGATATATGTTGTGACTATTTTCTCCCAGTTTGTCAGCTGTCTTTGACTTAGTGGTATTTTTCAGGCCATGTAAAATTTTTATTATGTAGTCAAATTTATCAGTCTTTTATTGTGTATGGGACCGTAGTCACACTTAGAAAGCTTTTCCTTATACACTGGTTTCAGAAGAATTCACTCATGGGGTGTTTTTTTTCTTTTTGGTACTTGCATAGTTTTACTTTTTATATTTAGATCTCTGATCCATTTGGAGTTTATTCTTGGGTGTGATGAAAGAAATGGATCTACCTTTATCTTTTTCCAAACAGCTATCCACTAGTCCCCACACTGTATAGTAAACAGAGCATTTTTGTCCGAGTGATTTTTGAGATACCACTTTTGTCATAAATTTTTATATGTAGCTGGATCTACTTCTGGAGGTTTATTTTACTCCCTTTATCTGACAGTTTATTCTTGTGCCAGTACTTACCATTTAATGAAAGAGCTTTGAAACACATTTTTATACCTGGGAGTAGTTCTGCCTTGCTCCCACTACCTCATCCCAGAGGTCTTCTTATTTAGTAGTTTCCTTGCTATTCTTGTGTTTGTTTTTTATATTTAATAAAACTAACTTTTAATTAATATGAAGATGGCTTTCATTATATCATCATTAATAAATCATACTAAGCCTAGATTTTGAGAACCACATTTATAAACAGAGGGGGTTGATAGCCATTTTATTCCTGACTGTGAAAAATATTTATTTAATCTCCATACAAGTTGAGTATACAAGCAAATTATTTCAGTTTAGTGCAGACTTGAAAAAACATTGATTTTATTGTTATTCCTAATATTTCCCTATTCTTAATCTTCATCTTTCACCAACACCACCATTCCCTCACCCAGCACCAAGGAAGGAAGGAACATGCTACTATCATGTTCTGATAGCTCCTGCTTCATAGACATGGAATCTGCAGTTGAAAACAAGGTTTTATCTTATCACTCTTTGTAACAATAGAACCCGCAAATGTATCCATTTATGGACCTAAAAATAATTTAACATAATTGTAGTCTACTGCTTCTGCCTTGGGATTGTTTCTACACTAAAGTGCCCCTACAGAAGGCCAGAGAATATTGACCCAACCCTGATTCCATCACGGTAATCATGCTAGTTGAAATTAGGGCAAGCAAAACTAAGGCCAATTTGACCTGCATTGAATCTATGATTCAAAAAATCTTATCTGTTAACTCCCAGTGGCCCAGGAAGGTCCATAAGGTTTTAAAATTCCAAATGCTATAGAAGTTATGTTTATCATAATAAGTTGTACATATTCATTTGTTTCTGGCATAAAATTAGCATATTAAAATTTATCTTCCCTATAAGGTTTCATCAAAAATTGACGCTTTTCTCCTTTAATTCTGGAAAAAGGTTTTGTAATCTCAGGGATAACCAGTTGGAATAGTTGATCAATAGGATTGCATACTTCACTGACACAGTCCAAAGCTTTAAAAAATGCAGCTCAAAAGATGTATTACACCAACTTAGATTCTCAATCTGATATGGCTGTGAAGCCAATGGACTGTTTCATGAAGGCTTAACTTTTCAATCAGAAAAGATTGCTCTACATGTTAGAGAACTTTTATTTTAGAAACTTTTGTGATTATTCTTAGTGTAGAAACTTTTATATATATATATATACTTTAAGTTCTGGGCTACATGTGCAGAACGTGCAGGTTTGTTACATAGTTATACACGTGCCATGGTGGTTTGCTGCACCCATCAACCTGTCATCTACATTAGGTATTTCTCCTAATGCTATCCCTCTCCTAGCCCCCCAGCCCCCAACAGGCCCCGGTGTGTGATGTTCCCCTCCCTGTGTCCATGTGTTCTCATTGTTCGACTCCCACTTATGAGTGAGAGCATGCAGTGTTTGGTTTTCTGTTCCTGTGTTAGTTTGCTGAAAATGATGGTTTCCAGCTTCATCCATGTCCCTGCAAAGGACATGAACTCATCCTTTCTATGGCTGCATAGTATTCCATGTGACATATTTTCTTTATCCAGTCTATCACAGATGGGAATTTGGGTTGGTTCCAAGTCTTTGGTATTGTGAATAGTGCTGCAATAAACACATGTGTGCATGTGTCTTTATAGTACAATGATTTATAATCCTTTGGGTATATATACCCAGTAATGGAATTGCTGGGTCAAATGGTATTTTTGGTTCTAGATCCTTGAGGAATTGCCACACTGTCTTCCACAATGGTTGAACTAATTTACACTCTCACCAACAGTGTAAAAGCGTTCCTATTTCTCCACATCTTCTCCAGCATCTGTTGTTTCCTGACTTTTTAATGATCACCATTCTAAGTGGCGTGAGATGGTATCTCATTGTGGTTTTGATTTGCATTTCTCTAATGACCAGTGACGATGAGCTTTTTTTCATGTTTGTTGGCTACATAAATGTCTTTTTTTGAGAAGTGTCTGTTCATATCCTTTGCCCATTTTTTGATCAGTGTTTTTGTTTTCTTCTAAATTTGTTTAAGTTCCTTGTAGATTCTCGACATTAGCCCTTTGTCAGGGGGATAGATTGCAAAAATTTTCCCCCATTCTGTAGGTTGCCTGTTCATTCTGATGATAGTTTCTTTTGCTGTGCAGAAGCTATTTAGTTTAATTAGATCCCATTTGTCAATTTTGGCTTTTGTTGCCATTGCTTTTGGTGTTTGAGTCATGAAGTCTTTGCCCATGCCTATGTCTTGAATGATATTGCTTAGGTTTTCTTCTAGGGTTTTTATAGTTTTGGGTCTTACATTTAAGTCTTTAATCCATCTTGAGTTAATTTTTGTGTAAGGTGTAAGGAAGGGATCCAGTTTCAGTTTTCTGCATATGGCTAGCCAGTTTTCCCAACACCATTTATTAAATAGGGAATCCTTTCCCCATTGCTTGTTTGTGTCAGGTTTGTCAAAGATTAGATGGTTGTAGATGTGTGGCTCTATTTCTGAGGCCTCTGTTCTGTTCCATTGGTCTATATATCTGTTTTGGTACCAGTACCATGCTGTTTGGTTACTGTAGCCTTGTAGTATAGTTTGAAGTCAGGTAGCGTGATGCCTCCAGCTTTGTTCTTTTTCCTTACGAATCTATTGGCTATATGGGGTCTTTTTTGGTTCCATATGAGATTTAAAGTAGCTTTTTCTAATTCTGTGAAGACAGTCAATGGTAGCTTGATGGGGATAGCACTGAATCTATAAATTACTTTGGGTAGTATGGCCATTTTCACGATATTGATTCTTCCTATCCATGAGCATGGAATGTTTTTCCATTCGTTTCTGTCCTCTCTTATTGCCTTGAGCAGTGGTTTGTAGATCTCCTTGAAGAGGTCCTTCACATCCTTTGTAAGTTGGATTCCTAGGTATTTTATTCTCTTTGTAGCAATTGTGAATGGGAGTTCACTCATGATTTCACTCTGTGCTTGTCTATTATTGGTGTATAGGAATGCTAATGATTTTTGCACATTGATTTTGTATCCTGACACTTTGCTGAAGTTGCCTATCAGCTTAAGAAGATACTGGGCTGAGACGGTGGGGTTTTCTAAATATAACAATCATGTCATCTGCAAACAGAGACAATTTGACTTCCTCTCTTCCTATTTGAATACTCTTTATTTCTTTCTCTCGCCTGACTGCCACGGACAGAACTTCCAATACTATGTTGAATAGGAGTGGTGAGAGAGGGCATCCTTGTCTTGTGCCAGTTTTCAAAGGGAATGCTTCCAGCTTTTGCCCACTCAGTATATCGGCTGTGGGTCTGTCATAAATAGCTCTTATTATTTTGAGATACGTTACATCAACACCTAGTTTATTGAGAGTTGTTAGCATGAAGGGGTTTTGAATTTTATCGAAGGCTTTTTCTGCATCTATTGAGATAATCATGTGGTTTTTGTCATTGGTTCTGTTTATGTGATGAATTACGTTTACTCATTTGCGTATGTTGAACACATCCCTTGCATCCCAGGAATGGAGACGACTTGATTGTGGTGGATAAGTTTTTTAATGTGCTGCTGGATTCGCTTTGCCAGTATTTTATTGAGGATTTTCGCATCAATTTTCATCAGGGATATTGAACTAAAATTTTCTTTTTTTGTTTTCTCTGCCAGGTTTTGGTATCAGGATGATGCTGTCCTCATAAAATGAGTTAGGGAGGCATCCCTCTTTTTCTGTTATTTGGAATTTTACTAGCTCCTCTTTGTATCCCTGGTAAATGGTAGTAGCTCCTCTTTGTACCCCTGGTAAAATTCGGCTGTGAATCCATCTTGTTCTGGGCTCTTTTTGTTTGGTAGGCTATTAATTACTGCGTCAATTTCAGAACTTGTTATTGGTCTATTCAGGGATTCGACTTCTTCCTGGTTTAGTCTTGGGAGGATGTATGTGTCGGGGAATTTATTCATTTCTTCTAGATTTTCTAATTTATTTGCATAGAGGTGTTTATAGTATTCTCTGATGGTAGTTTGTATTTCTGTGGGATTAGTGGTGACATCCCCTTTATCATTTTTTATTGCGTCTATTTGATTCTTCTCTTTTCTTCTTTAATCAGTCTGGCTAGCAGTCTATCTATTTTGTTAATCTTTTAAAAAACCAGCTCCTGGATTCATTAATTTTTTGAAGGGCTTTTTGTGTCTCTATCTCCTTCAGTTCTGCTCTGATCTTAGTTATTTCCTGTCTTCTGCTAGCTTTCGAATTTGTTTGATCTTGCTTCTCTAGTTCTTTTAATTGTGATGTTAGGGTGTTGATTTTAGATCTTTCCTGCTTTCTCCTGTGGGCATTTAGTGCTATAAATTTCCCTCTACATACTGCTTTAAATGTGTCCTAGAGATTCTGGTACATCACGTCTTTGTTCTCATTGGTTTCAAAGAACTTACTTATTTCTGCCTTAATTTCGTTATGTACCCAGTAGTCATTCTTTGTTTAGTTTCCATGTAGTTGTGTGGTTTTGAGTGAGTTTCTTAATCCTGAGTTCTAATTTGATTGCACTGTGGTCTGAGAGGCTGTTTGTTATGATTTCCATTCTTTTGCATTTGCTGAGGAGTGTTTTACTTCCAATTATGTGGTTAATTTTAGAATAAGTGCAATGTGGTGCTGAGAAGAATGTATATTCCATTGATTTGGGGTGGAGAGTTCTGTAGATGTCTATTAGGTCCGCTTGGTCCAGAGCTGAGTTCAAGTCCTGAATATCTTTGTTAATTTTCTGTCTCGCTGATCTGTCTAATATTGACAGTGGGGTGTTAAAGTCTCCCACTATTATTGTGTGGGAGTCTAAGTCTCTTTGTAGGTCTCGAAGAACTTGCTTTATGAATCTGGGTGCTCCTGTATTGGGTGCATATATATTTAGAAGAGTTAGCTCTTCTTGTTGCATTGATCCCTTTACCATTATGTAATGCCCTTCATTGTCTTTTTTGATCTTTGTTGGTTTAAAGTCTGTTTTACCAGAGACTAGGATTGCAACCCGTTTTTTTTTTTCCCTTCCATTTGCTTGGTAGATATTCCTCCATCTCTTTATTTTGAGCCTAAGTGTGTTTCTGCACGTGAGTTGGGTCTCCTGAATACAGCACACCAATGGGTCTTGACTCTATCCAATTTGCCAGTCTGTGTCTTTTAATTGGGGCATTTAGCCCATTTACATGTGTGGATTTGATCCTGTCATTATGATGCTAGCTGGTTATTTTGCCCGTTAGTTGATGCAGTTTCTTCACAGTGTCGATGGTCTTTACAGTATGTTTTTGCAGTAGCTGGTACCGGTTTTTCCTTTCCATATTTAGTGCTTCCTTCAGCAGCTCTTGTAAGGCAGGCCTGGTGGTAACAAAATATCTCAGCACTTGCTTGTCTGTAAAGGATTTTATTTCTTCTTTGCTATGAAGCTTAGTTTGGCTGGATATGAAATTCTGGGTTGAAAATTCTTTTCTTTAAGAATGTTGATTATTGGCCCCCACTCTCTTCTGGCTTGTAGGGTTTCTGCAGAGAGACTGGCTGTTAGTCTCAGGGGCTTCCCTTTCTGGGTAACCTGACCTTTCTCTCTGGCTGCCCTTAACATTTTTTCCTTCATTTCAACCTTGGTGAATCTGACAATTATGTGTCTTGGGGTTGCTCTTCTCGAGGAGTATCTTTGTGGTGTTTTCTGTATTTCTTGAATTTGAATGTTGGTCTGCCTTGCTAGGTTGGGGAAGTTCTCCTGGATAATATCTTGAAGAGTGTTTTCCAACTTGGTTCCATTCTCCCTGTCACTTTCAGGTACATCAATCAAATGTAGGTTTGGTCTTTTCACAAAGTCCCATATTTCTTGGATGCTTTGTTCATTCTTTTTCATTCTTTTTTCTGTAAACTTGTCTTCAGGCTTTATTTCATTAAGTGCATGTTCAACCTCTGATATCCTTTCTTCTGCTTGATTAATCTGGCTATTGATACTTGTGTATGCTTCATGAAGTTCTTGTGCTGTTTTTTTCAGCTCCATCAGGTCATTTATGTTCTTCTCTAAACTGGTTATTCTAGTTAGCAATTCCTCTAACCTTTTTTCAAGGTTCTTAGCTTCCTTGCATTGGGTTAGAACATGCTCCTTTAGCTCAGAGGAGTTTGTTATTACCCACCTTCTGAAGCCTACTTCTGTGAATTCGTCAAACTCATTCTCTGTCTAGTTTTTTTCCCTTGCTGGCAAGGAGTTGTGATCCTTTGGAGGAGAAAAGGCGTCCTGGTTTTTGGTATTTTCAGCCTTTTTGCACTGGTTTTTCCCCATCTTCTTGGATTTATCTACCTTTGGTCTTTGATGTTGGTGACCTTCAGATAGGGTTTTTGTGTGGACATCCTTTTGTTGATGTTGATGCTCTTCCTTTCTGTTTGTTAGTTTTCCTTCAAACAGTCAGGCCCCTCTGCTGCAGGTCTGCTGGAGTTTGCTGGAAGCCAACTCCAGACCCTGTTTGTCTGGATGTCACCAGCAGAGGCTGCAGAACAGCAAAGATTGCTGCCTGGTCCTTCCTCTGGAAGCTTTGTCCCAGAGGGCCACCCGCCAGATGCCAGCCAGAGCTCTCCTGTATGAGGTGTCTGTTGACCCCTGCTGGGAGGTGTCTCCCAGTCGGGAGGCACGGGGGTCATGGATCCACGTGAGGAGGCAGTCTGTCCCTTAGCAGAGCTTGAGTCCTATGTTGGGAGATCTGCTGCTCTCTTCAGAGCCAGCAGGCAGAAACATTTAAGTCTGTTGAAGCTGCACCCACAGCCGCCCCTTCCCCCAGGTGCTCTGTCCCAGGGAGATGTGAGTTTTATCTATAAGCCCCTGACTGGGGCTGCAGCCTTTGTTTCAGAGATGTCCTGCCCAGAGAGGAGTAATCTAGAGAGGCAGTCTGGCTACAGCAGCTTTGTTGAGCTGCAGGGGGCTCCACTCAGTTCGAACTTCCTGGAGGCTTTGTTTATACTGTGAGGGGAAAACTGCCTACTCAAGCTTCAGTAATGGTGGACACCCCTCCCCCCACCAAGCTCCAGCACCCCAGGTCGACTTCAGACTGCTGTGCTGGCAGCAAGAATTTCAAGCCAGTGGATCTTAGCTTGCTGGGATCTGTGGGGGTGGGATCCGCTGAGCTGGACCACTTGGCTCCCTGGCTTCAGCCCCCTTTCCAGGGGGGTAAACGGTTCTGTCTTGCTGGCGTTCCAGGCACCACTGGGGTATGAAAAGAAACAAAACAAAACAAACAGCAGCTAGCTCAGTGTCTGCCCAGATGGCCACCCAGTTTTGTGCTTGAAACCCAGGGCCCTGGTGGTGTAGGCACCTGAGGGAATCTCTTGATCTGCAGGTTGCGAAGACCATGGGAAAAGCGAAGTATCTGAGCCGGAATGTACCATTTCTCACAGCACAGTCCCTCACAGCTTCCCTTGGCTAGGAGAGGGAATTCCCCGACCCCTTGCACTCCCTGGGTGAGGCAAAGCCCCACCTTGCTTCAGCTTGCCCTCCGTGGGCTGTACCCACTGTCTAACCAGTCGCAATGAGATGAGCCAGGTACCTCAGTTGTAAATGCAGAAATCACCCGCCTCTGTGTTGATATCACTGGGAGCTGCAGATGAGAGCTGTTCCTATTCTGTCATCTTGCCCAGGTCTGGTGTTAAAACTTTTAAGCATTTTATTAGTTATTTGAATGTCTTCTTTTGTGAATTAGCATTTATTTTCCCATTTTTCTACTAAAGTCTATCTTAATGATGTATGCCTCAGATATTATGACAATAAATCCTCTCTGTGTCTTAAGTTTGCAGGTCTTTCCCCAAATTATGTGTTTTCATATTTTGTTTGGCATATTCAGATAGGTAAGGTTTTAATTATCTTTATATTAGTCCATTTTCTTGTGGATTTTAAAATATTGCTCTAATGCTTGGAAGGTTCTCCTCCATCTTCAGATGACATAAACATACACCTATTTGGCCTTTTGAAAATATTTAACTCTTTAATCTAGCTACAATTTACTTTGCAATATAATATAAAGATCTAACATTTTCCCCCAGTAGTTAATCAACTGTCCTAGTACTATTTATCAAATAGTTTATTCTTTATCTATTGGTTTATAGCTATCTATATCATATACATGATTTTATTTGTAGGCTCTCTTTTCCATTTCACTAATGTGTTTGTCTATACCTGAGTCAACACTGTGTCATTTTAATTATTGTAACTTTGAAGAACTTTTCAATATCTGGGTATGGCTTGTCTCCTTCAATATAATTTTGTCAAAACCTTCTTGACTGTTTTTACCTATTGTTTTCTCACCTATTTTTTTAAAACTAAATTAACTTTGGTGGGATATGGTTTGGATGTGTCTCCATCCAAATCTCATCTTGAATTGTAGCTCCCCTAATTCCCATGTGTTGTGGGAAGGATCCGTTAGGAGACAATTTAATCATGGGGGCAGTTCCCCCATAATGTTGTTCTTGTGGTAGTGGGTAAGTCTCATGAGATCTGATGGCTTTAGCAGGGGTTTCCCCTTTCACTTGGCTCTTATTCCCTCTTGCCTGCCACCACGTAAGACGTGTCTTTCACCTTCCACCATGATTGTGAGGCCTCCCCAGCTACGTGGAACTATGAGTTCATTAAAACTTTTTTCCTTTATAAATTATCCAGTCTCAGGTATGTCTTTAATTAGCAGCATGAGAACAGACTAATACACAGTGTAATCAATTATTTGTCCAGAACGTATCACATGCATTCATTTCATGTTTGTACCAGGAGTTTGTGGTCTCAGCAGAGTCGGTAGTTTTCTTCATGTTGGTCTTCATGTAATACTTGTATGTTCCTGTAGGTCAGAGGTTAAGTTGGCTTGCTTGGTTTTCTGCTCTGGTTTCACAATGTTGAAATCAAGGTGTCATCAGGGTTGCAGTGTTTTCTATCTCTTAACAATCCTTAATTCTTAGGTCCTGTATAGTTTCATTTGTTCTCCTTGTGGATCTTATGTTTATTTGAGGGATGTGAGGAGGAGATTTGGAATCAGGATACTGTTACTGTTTTTTTTTTGTTTTGTTTTTTGTTTTTTGAGACAGGCTCTCACTCTGTCACCCAGGCTGGAGTGCAGTGGCACAATCTTGGGTCACTGCAACATCTGCCACCTGGGTTCAAATGAGTCTCCTGCCTCAGCCTCCTGAGTAGCTGGGATTACAGTTGTCTGCCACTGCATCCAGCTAATTTTTGTAGTTTTAGTAGAGATGGGGTTTCATCATCTTGGCCAGGCTGGTCTTAAACTCCTGACCTTATGATTCACCCGCCTCGACCTCCCAAAGTGCTGGGATTACAGGCGTGGGCCACCACGCTGGCCCTGTATTGTTCTTTAACTTCATTTTAATTTTTCTAACAGCTTTGTAAGTTATTATCACCCCTCAGTCCATTAAATGAGAGAAAACTGAGGCCCATAGAAGTTAAGTGCTACTCAAGAATGAGGTAAGTGGTACACCTGCGATTTGCTGATACACATTTAATAAAATTTCAGGGTTGAAGAAACTAACATTTCCATTGCTCAGTGGCTACTGAAATTCCTGCTCGAATATTTCCAGTAATAAGGGACTCACTGCCTCCAAATGAGCCTGCTTCATTTTTGGATTCTCTAAATATGGCTAAAAATTATGTTGTATTGAATTCTGCTTCTATGTATCTTCAAGGGTTGGAGCAAACAAAGTTTAAATCTAAGCCTCTATCCTTGCTCTAGTCCTTTATTATTGAAGACAGCAATGCACCATGGTTTTCCATAATACATTTTTAATTTAATTTTTTTTAAGAGATGAGGTTTTGCCATGTTTCCCACGCTGAAATGCAGTGGTCATTCACAGGCACAATCGTAGCACACTGCAGCCTCAAAATCCTGGCCTCAAGTTTCCTCAGTATCTGTGATTGGCTCAATCATACATTTTCGAGTGCCCTTCATCAAATGGCCACATTGTTTTAGACATGCCCTGCTTTACTTATACCTCTATTGTGCAGTAATGAACACAGAACTACTTGGAAAATGCCAACTTAAAATAAAGTAGGCAGTTTGTTGTCCTACTTTGAAAATTATATCCTGTGTAGCATGTTTTGGGGTGTGGTGTATGTGTCTACGATCGCATACAGGTTGTATTCGTTTTTTGGAACATCATGTCACTCTGTGGGCCACATAGGTAGTGGTTAGGAAAATTCACAAGTCTTTTTCCACATGTGATGGTAAGTCACATGTCCCCCATGAAGTCCTTGTGCAATTAGCTGTCTGACTCCAGGAGCTGGACTTCCATATTTATACCAATTCAATTTCTTTGTATCCAACCCTGCCCATCCTTTCAGGCTGCTGAGATTTCACTTGGACCTTGATTCATCTACTGTAACACTGTTTGCTTCTTTTAAAAAATAAATCATAATTCCAACAATGTTTTCATTTTAATAAAAATTAAAATGTGGTGTAGGACAGGATTGAAAGCAGAGTCCTGTTGCTTGCCACCCAAATCCTCCCTCTAAATTGATGATTTTTAAAGCAGTACTTTTAAAGCTATGTGACACACTATTGGTAGACTATAACCCATTTTCTTTTAGCCATTTAACATTTATGCATGCACATCTACCTGAAAATGTAGCCAAATATTTGAGGATCTTATAAAACTTAGGATTTTTATTTCAGATAAATGGGTCAAACAATCTTCTCTTTCAATACACTGTCTTCATTCTTTCCCTGCCTTTCTACCCCCTACCCTAGTCCATTTCTCAAAGAATAAAATCCACATAGGTACCTTTTAATAGGTTCCATTGTTTCATTTGAGTATCACCAGTGTACATAATGTCACATGCTTTCTATTAGCTCTTTCTCAGCATGTATTGGCATTTTAATTTTACCTTAATTTTTTTCTCTTCTCCTTAGGCAGGATAACAATCCATTTGCCAGTTGGCTGCCTGTATGTTCCTAATAATAGACTATGACCTAATCGCAAGTATATTCACTGAACATGGGGGACTTACCACCTACAGTGGGGGCATAAAAAGATTATTTCTAATTAAGATAGCAATGAGAATATTTCATAGGAATTTATCTCCTGTAAAATTCTTCTACAGTAATATACATCCACATAAGCTCAATACAGTGAAAGACCACATTGTTCTAAATGGAAGGTCAATATTTTTTTTAACGAAAGCTTGTCGTATTTAGATTTATATCAAATCCCTGCTCGCAAAACAAATAGAACAACAAAAAGCCTGAACACTTACTGTAATTAAGTAGATATTAGACTAAACACAGGACCTACTGGAAGAGCTACACTTTACACAGGAGTGTAAGTTTCATCTAAGCTTTATTTGCTAGTTGTTATTACCAACAGAAAATGATGATGCTGTTCAAGTCACCAAGAAGGGCTTCATCCCTTTAAGATTCAAAAAAGTTTCATGTCTTTAGATTTTAGAAAAAAATGATATAGCAAAAGTAATCTGTATACTAATTTGTATATTAACTGCAGTGGTGGTTACAAGAATCTATGCATGTAATAACATGGTGTAGAACTACACACACACACACACACACACACACACACACACACACAATTGTACCAATGTCAGTTTCCTGGTCTTGCTACTGTGCTGTAGCAAATGTTGTAAAATGTGACCACTGGGGGAACCTGGGTGAAAGGTACATAGGATCTCTCCAAACAATTTTTGCAACTTCCTATAAATCTATAATTATTTCTAAATTAAAATAAAAACATCCCAATCCTACATAATCTATTCACTGTATAGTTCATCCCAAAAAAGTTAGCTTAGTATCATTTAACCAATATTTGCCAAGGTTAAACATAACTTTATTGCCTTTAGTCATTTCTAGAATGAGGCAGGATTATAAACAAATAATCTACTTTATGAGTCACTGAATGCTTAGGAATTTTGTGATTAAATGAATAAAGTAAACTTATAAAGTGAAAGTAACCAAACAGTCAATTTTCAGCAAGTAAAAGAAAGAGAGAATCCCAACTCTAAAAAATTAGGCCTGCTAATTAAGCGGTTAAAGCCTTCTTTTTGTTTTTTCCATATTACATGAACATGTATTGCCCCATAGGTCATTCCATAATCAAATAATGGAAAAAGCAAGGTTCTCAGAATCTTCTATTCATTTAGTTTCAGGAAGATACTCCTCAGGAAAGACTCAGAGTTGCATGTGATTCTCTGTTGTTCACTGTCATGATAGTCAATGCTATCCAGCTAACCTGTTGAGCATACTCAGCTGGTAGATTGGGAAATCCCCACAATTCTAAATTTAAACATATGAACCCGGATAATTTGGTGTTGTGTACATAAAGTGATTTTATATATATATGAAACCGACCCAATAGTCCCCTAGACAGTTTTTTTTGGATAAACATAGAAATTGCCCATCTGGTTTTAAAATTTGAAACTTACATTTGTTTTATCAGAGTTCCTTCCTCAGGAAACCACATTCAGACCTCTCAAAAGAAAAAGAAAATTAAAGAACTGAAACTCACCAGATCACCACATCCAGACAATGAGATGCCAGACCCTTCATTCATCATGATTGCTTCGTTACCCCTCCTCTCTAGTTCTTGTTTTCTTACACATTGTTACATAGCAGGGAAGACCCTGCTATATAAACCCCTAGTTTTAGTTGGTCAGGGAGATGGATTTGGGACTGAGCTCCCATCTCCTTGGCTGCAGCATCAGATTAAAGCCTTCTTCCTTGGCAGTACTCTTCGTCTCAGTCACTGGCTTTCTGTGCAGCAAGCGGCAGGACCCAGATGAACCCATGGCGTTTCAGTAACATACATACATATATATATATATATATATATATATATATATATATATATATATATATATGGATGATGGAATTACTTTACAGAATGTCTGAGTGACAACCTAAAAAAGGGTGAACTCTTGTAGCAGCTCACACCATGAAAACTATAAGCACAGTGAGAAATATGAGTAACATTTAGGACATATTAGCATTCTTTAGCTAACATTATTGCTGACGGTTGTTTGCTAGAACTTGAATCTCGGGATTAAGCAAGCCAGGAAAATTTCTCCTAATCCTGCAGATCATCATATTAAAGCTCCAGACCAAACATGTAGGCCAGAGAATGACAGATTTTTCCTCTACATTTTCTTAATCTTAATCTTAGACTAACCATAGACATCAGATTGAATTTTTTAGGCACTTTCATTACTATCATAAAATTAAAAGGCAAGCAAAAGAATGAAATTTGGGTTCCTGCAGGTCATATGATACCAAAAGAGAGGAAATAAATGAAAAAACCATGGATTGTTAAGTCAGAGAGCCCTCGATTCCAGATAAATACCTGGCACCAACAAGCTTAAGAGTGTGTGAAAGATATTTAGGCAAATTAAGTTAGACAAGATTACGTGTGGTTACAAATAGTCTCCTTCCTCCAACCCTGCCTTGAATCTCAGAAGTTTATCAATTAACCAATGTGTCCAACAGCAGTCAGCAGAGGGGCACTATCCAGTCTAGTCACTCAAGGATCAAGGTGACAAAGCCTCCGTCTTGAAAAACCTCTCACCAACACAGAAGGAAGGGCACACAAGCTCTTAATACTTCCCTGGCTCTTCTGTTCACATTTCATTGATGAAAACAAGTCACACAGCCACACCTAACCTCAGAAGATGTAGAGAAGTGCAATTGATAGAGGCAGGACACAGCCACATCTCCAACCCGACCCACAAGTCTTTACACCAGATGCTTTGTGCAGATATGGGAGCCAGCACAGGGGGCTTGTCTGGGCATGCCCCACAACCACTAGGAGAATGGGTGGAGCCACCAGGAATTCATGAATTATGAGGGGAAAGAGCCTGGCCTCTTCAACTCACGTGTGGTGGCCTGCCATTCAATTTTTGTGAGGTGGAAACCTGCATGAAGGACCCCTCTCTTTGTTGGGAGCTTTCTTTTCACTTAATAAATTCCATCCTCCTCAGTCTTCGATGTCTCTGTGTGCCTAATTTTTCCTGGTTGTAAGACAAGAACTGGATTTAGCTAAACTAAGGAGCAAAAAATCCTGTATCACAATCTTCTCATGTGCCAGAGGAGAACGGGAAGATTCATAAACAACTCCAGTTACTACCACATTTTCTTAAATCCTTCAACTTCAGTTTCCTGCCCTGGAAAATTAAGACGATGATACCTAACTTAGAGGATACTTGTGTTTATCACTTCATGGTCATGATCAGACCTCTGGTGCCACACTGCCTAGGCTGAAATCCCAGTTTTAAGGCTCGTTAGCATAACCTTGGGCAGTTTTCTTAATCTCTTTCATCTCAGATTCCTCATCTGAAAAATAATGTTCATGCATATTGAACTGTGAGGATTAAATCTGTTAATATAAGCCAAATGTTTAGAATAGTGCCCTGTACATAGTAAGGACACTAAGTATTTGCTCTTGACCCCTGGCATGGCTTTGGAATGTACAGAATCCTCAGTGATTATTGGTTATCTGATTATTATTACTATAATAGAAGCCTGGCTTGCTGCTGCCCGTCATTGACTTACTAAATACCTGTGAAAGGAAAGTCAGCAAAAAAAAAAAAAAATCAGATTCCACAAAATGAGTTGGAATATATTATGTAGAATTGAAAGGTTCACTGAAGTATAAGTTTAGCAATAAGCACAACAGGGGTAGTCCCCACAAAATTAGAAGCTTCCTGAGGTGGGAGCATCTAGTTGCTTGCTACTGATGTCCAATGCTAAGACTGAGCTGAGTATTCGTGGAGTGGGATGGGTTGAAATGGCCCAGAATAGTTGCAGCGATTGCACTGTAATTAAAAATGTCTAATTGGAGCTATAGGAAGGCAAGCAGAGACTGGCTTCTTCAGCACACTCATACAACTGGGCTAGCTCCAACATTAAAACTATTTTTAAATTCAAAGGTGGTTTTTATTATATATTTATTTTCATTTTTTTATTTTTTTGAGACGGAGTCTTGCTCTGTCACCCAGGCTGGAGTGCAATGGCAGGATCTCCACTCACTGCAAGCTCCGCCTCCCAGGTTCACCCCATTCTCCTGCCTCAGCCTCCCGAATAGCTGGGACTACAGGCGCCCACCATCATGCCTGGCTAATTTTTTGTATTTTTTTTTTTTTAGTAGAGACAGGGTTTCACCATGTTAGCCAGGATGGTCTCGATCTCCTGACCTCGTGATCTGCCCACCTTAGCCTCCCAGAGTGCTGGGATTTTACAGGCGTTAGCCACCACGCCCGGCCAAAGGTGGTTTTTAAAAATGTGGAATTTTATTTGTCTTCATAGGAACACCTAACCCTAGTGTTGAAAGCTTTTTAGTACAGCCAGAAATTCACGGCTTTCAAGTGACTGAATTATATGGTGAAGTCCTGGATGTTATCAGATTCTCAAATAATGGGCATTACCAAACTACAGAAATAACTAATCTACTCGATGAAACTTGGAGGTTAAAATAAAAAGTATTTTTCTCCCTGGGCCAAAAAGAAGTATTTTAAAGCCATACTTGGCTTTTTGATGACAAAGCTTTTGATGAATTCAAAATTACAGAATGTTTCTAGACACTTTAAAGTCACAGGGCATTTAAAAAGTCAGTTTTAAGGTAATTTTTTATTCTTTAATTGTGGTTAAGATCATCCAGACCATCATATTTATCTCAGACATGCAAACTAGTATACTACAGAGATGTGTTAAACTGAAGACATAAATGTATGTATAGTTCAAATATTCCTAGAAGTAAATGATAACTTTAAGAATGTTCATCCTGGTGAGGGCACTGTTATTTTGTTCAAAACTATTTCTTGTTGAATGAGACTATTCCAAGCCTCATAGGAGTGGCATTCTGCAGTTACTGTGACAAGCAAAAATGCCTGCACACTGCACACATTTCTAAACACTACTGTGGGACTGTACTGTCTCCAGAAGAGACGCTTCAAGGGGACTTTGTTAGCATACGTGCCTTGCTGAAGGAATCACGGTTTTTGAGTTTGGGTTGAATATTTTTAAAGTTTCTTAGTTCAGGCTGGTTGAAACTTTTTCTTTCTTTCTTTTTTTTGGGGGGGGCAAGATCTCACTGTCACCCAAGTGGGAATGCAGTGGCACAATCACAGCTCATTGTAGCCTCGATCTCCCAGGCTCAAGAGATCCACCTGCCTCATTTCTCATTTTTTGTAGAGACAAGGTCTCACTATGTTGCCCAGGCTGGTCCTGAACTCCGGGGCTCAAGAAATCCTCCCGCCTTGGCCTCCCAAAGTGCTGGGATTAGGGGTTTGAGCCACCGGTGTCCGGACAAAGCTTTTTTTTTTCTCCATAATAAAAGGAAATTTTAAAAGACACTTTTAGCACCACAAAATTCTTTTGTCCAAAGAAAAAGCAAAAACTAATCATAATAGCCATTCTAGAAATTAAAAATATGAACAGTAAGTGCATAATCTATTCATATTCTTGATTCTGAGGAAATCTTACATTCAACAAATATGATAGTAGAGGGCTTATGTTTTTCTGTCCCAATCCTGGGTTACCTGACTATAGAAAAGATTAAAGAATCAGAGTCAGAAGCTGGCAGTGTCTCCTTCAGTCCTCCTGCGGCTCTACCGAGAGCCTATATAACCCTGGGTAAGCCAGTTAACCGTGTTTTGACCTCTTTCTTACAACGTGGGTAAGTGAGGCAATGCAGCAACATGGCAACAGCCGAATGCCCTTTAACATCAGCCTTTTTTCTCCTCATCTTTCAGTAATTTCGTTACTTGCCAGAAAATGAGGTGGACTGGTAGCTTTTGAGGGAAGTGATGTTCTAGAAGACAGTATACACTGCAGTATTTTGGAGAAAAGAGAATGTTTGCTGAAACGTCTCTTTGCTTATGGATAGCGTAATCTTTTATGCCAGTTTCAGAGAACGTTCCTCAAGATATGTGCTGTTGCTATGTTTTTAGAGAAAGATGATCTGGGATAAAGTTTCTCTTAGTGACTGCTGGAATAAGAGTTTTACCTGCCTTATTTAAGACCAGATAATACAGCGTTTTTTTTTTTAATTTTAGAAACTTTTAATTAAAGTATAACATACAATCAGAAAAGTGCATGAGTCACCATAGATATGTATCACCATAGATAACTATAGTTTTGCCTGTTTTTGAAATTAATGTAAATAGAAACATACGGTATGTTCTCTTCAGTGTCTGGTTTATTTTGTCCAACTTTATGTTTGTGAGATGCACTTATATCAGAAGTTGCAAATCATTCATTCTCAGTGCTAGATAGTATTCTGTTGTACGAATATTTCACAATTTACGAATCCTACTGTTGGCATTTGGATAATTCCTGATTTGGGGCTATTACAAATAGTGCTGCTATGAACATTCTTATTCATTTCTTCTGAAGAACACTGTGCAAATTTCTGTGAGGTAGGTAACAGCAACTGGGTCACAGGATATGGATCTGTTCAGCGTAAGTAGAGACCACTAAGAAGTTCTCTAAAGTGGCTGTACCAACTTATGCTTTCATCTGCAGTGTTACTCCACCTCCTTGCCAATACCAGATTTTTTTGTCTTTTTAATTTTACCCATTCTAGTAGTTGTGTCTTGCCATTGAGCTGTGATTTCATTTGCACTTATTTGATGACTAATAAGGTTGAGCAACTTTTTATGTTAATTGATCATCTACATATCCTCTCTGGTGAATTATCTGTTCAAATCTTTGCTCATTTTTCTACTGGGTTGCTTGTGTTTTCTAATTAATTTATAGGAATTCTTTATATATACTGGATATAAGTTGTTTGTTATATGTGTTGCTAATACCTCCTCTGGTATATTTTGCCTTTTCATTTTCTTAATGTTGTCTTTTGATGAACAGAAGTTCTTGGTATTATAATCCAAATTACCAGTTTTTTCTCTTTCTGGTTGGTGTTGTGTTGGGAGTTTTTTAAGGGAATTTTGCCCACTCCAAGGTCATAAGGATATTCTATATATTACTTCCTAGAAGCCTTGTTTTACCTTTCGTATTAGGATCCATAGACCATCCTGTCTCCAGTGTACTTCAGTATCATCTTTATCATAATAGTGTGTCTATTCTATTTATCATTTATCTGTTGTGTATCTGTCTGCCATTGTGCCAATATCACACTCTCATCATTACTATGGCTTTGTAACAGATCTTGATATGTGGAAGCATAATTTCTCCATCTTTTTTTCAAGATTATCTTGTCTAGCTTTTGCTGTTTGAATTCTAAATTTTAGAATCAGTTTATTAATTTCCAAACATACACCTGCTTACATTTTGATTGGGACTGTACTGAATCTACAGATCAACTTGGGGAGAATTAGCCACTTAACAATACTGAGTCCTGTTCTCTATGAACATGGTTTATCTCTCCATTTATTCAGGTCTTCTATAATTTATCTCAATAATATTTAGTTTCCAGTGCGGAGGTCTTATGCATCGTCTGTTAGATTTCCCCTTGGGCATTTGATAGTTTTTAATGTTATTATAAGAAGTATCTTTTAAAAATTTTCATTTTTATTTGTTTGTTGCTGATATATAGATATACAACTGATTTTTATATATTAACCATATAGTTTTCCAATGATAAAGTTAACCAAAATAACACCTAAAACCCAATTTTGTAATTAATAACCTGCTTTCTGCTATTTTAAAATGATGACAGCAGGCCGGGAGCAGTGGCTCATGGCTGTAATCCCAGCAGTTTGGGAGGCCAAGGCAGGTGGATCATCTGAGGTCAGGAGTTTGAGACCAGCCTGGCCAACATGGTGAAACCCCGTCTCTACTAAAAATACCAAAATTAGCCGGGCATGGTGGCGGGCGCCTGTAGTCCCAGCTATTTGGGAGGCTGAGGCGGAAGAATTGCTTGAAGCCGGGAGGGGGAGGTTGCAGTGAGGTGAGATCACGCCATCGCACTCCAGCCTGGGCGACAAGAGCGTGACTCTGTCTCAAAAAAAAAAAAAAAAAGAGAGAGAGAGCAGAATTATATTTACATTTATAGAAATCTAAGCCAGAGTAGTTTATAGAAATATATCACCACTAGGTATTATAAAGAATTACTAATTCGAACAAATAGAGACAAGGAGACTATAAATTCATAAATGAATAAAGTACATATGATACCTTTATTTCTACTGAGTTTTTAATGACACAATTAGGCTTACAAAGCTTGTCAATTAAAGCTTATGTCTTTTTTCAAATATAAATGGATGTTTACATTTAAAAGTAATCTGTTCTTTTAAAGTCTTTATGGCGTTTGCTTAGCAACCAATATATAAACATAACATAAAGATAAATCATCCTTACCAGTATTTAGAGAGTTACAAACTTGAATAGAGTTAGGTTCAAATTAATATGTTTACTTGTATCAGATACAATGATAATTTGAATATATATAACATATGCAACATATATAAACACACAAACATGTAACTTTTTATATTATATAACTCCTTAGCAATATCATCTCAGCAAATACGAAGAATTTCAAAAAGTTCATGGAAAATACATATTATGGAAAAACTATACATGGATTTCAATTTTTTCTTATATCAAAATAAACTTGTACTAATTTGTAACATGTCTGAACAGGATCTATTTTGAGGCACAAAAAAGGATAAGAAATCAGTTTGAAAAGAGCCCTTATCAGAGCAATGTCAATTCTGCTAAAATTAAAGCAAGAACATCAAATTTATGGGGAAGTTTGGGTGGGAAAATCAGGAAATCATTGCTGCTTTACAAAATGTTAGTGGGGGCAATGCCCCAAAGAAATTGGCAGTTTACAAATGAATAATTTATTTTAAGAAAAGATGAGATGATGTTGAAGATGAAGCCCACTATAGAAGACAAACTACATCAATTTGCAAGGAAAAAAAAAATCTTGTTTGTGCCCTAATTGAAGAGTACTGATGATTAACAGTACAAACCATAGCCAACGCCACAGACATTCCAACTGGTTCAGCTTACACAATTCTGACTGCAAAATTAAAGTTGAGCAAACTTTCCACTCTATAGGTGCCAAAATCATTGCACTCAGATGAGCTGCAGACAAGAGCAGAGCTTTCAGTGGAAATTTTACACAAGTGAGATCAAGGTCTTAAAGCTTTTCTTTGAAGGATTGTGATAGGAGATGAAACACAGCTTTACTGGTATGATCCTGAAGACAAAGCACAATCAAAGTAATGGCTACCAAGAAGGGGATGTGGTGCAGTCAAAGAAAAGCCAAGCAGTCAAGAGCTAAGGTCATGGCAACAGTTTTTTGGGATGCTTAAGTCTTTTTGCTTGTTAACTTTCTGAAAGGCCAAAGAATGATAACATCTACTTATTATGAGAGTGTTTGGGGAAAGCTAGCCAAAGGTTTAGCAGAAAAATGTCCAGGAAAGCTATACCAGACTCCCTCTCCACCATGACAATGCTTCTGCTCATTCTTCTCATCAAACAAGGGCAATTTTGCCAGAGTTTCAGTGGAATGTCACTAGGCATCCACCTTACTGTCCTGATTTGGCTCATTTGGACTTTTGTTTCCTAATCTTAAAAAAATCTGTCAGAGCACTCATTTTTCTTCAGTTAATAATGTTAAAAAGATGGCACTGATGTGGTGAAATTCCCAAGACCCTGTTCTTTAGGGATGGAATAAATGTCTGGTATCATTGCTTACAAAAGTGTCTTGACCCTGATGGAGCTTACTCTGAGAAATAAAATTTATATTTTTTATTTGTAGCTTTTAACTCAATGTTTCCATGAATATTTTGAAGCCCCCTCATATATATATTTATATATATAAATACATATATAAATATATATAAACATATATAAATATATATAAATATATATAAATATATGTAAATATATAAATATATGTAAATATATATAAATATATATATAAATATATATAAATATATATAAATATATATATAAATATATATAAATATATATAAAAATATATATAAATATATATATAAATATATATAAATATATATAAATATATAAATATATAAATATATATATATAACTTCTCAAGCATGCTTAATAATCCTACTTACTCATGTCACAAAACAGGCTAGTTAACAACTAGAACATATCTAGAAGAATAATACTAAACAAAAACCAAAATTATATAGCTTTATATCAAAGTTTTCCATAGTCAATGAAAGAAATATTCTGGAATATTTAAATACACTTGGTTTTGGAGGACAAGGCAATAAAAAGATTGAATAAAATTAGATATTTTACATAGATACACAAGATGTTTATATTTTGACACATTATATATTTTCTTGTAAGTTCCATGAGAAAAAGGACTTTGTTTCTGTTCTCTGCTATATCCCCTGTGCCTAGAAGTTCACATAGTAGATGCTCAATAAATAATTCTTGAATGATGAATGAATTTCAGCATGTATTTCAATAAGCTTTGAAACACCTACATTCATGACTAAAAGTTAACCATAAATTTAGATCTGGAATATTTGAATGTCCCCCCTTTTAATTTAGGCAGAATAATAAAATGCTATGGCAAAGCATATGCATCATTCTCTGCTGCTTAGAGTTGCTTTTCCCCTTACCCATATTATCTGCCTCTCCTAGCAGAAAGCAAAATTTCAAACATCTATAACAATTATTTCTTTGAGAAGACTGTAGAGCATTGTTTCAAAGAGGGTTTTCTTAAGCCTGTAGGCAAACCTAAAAAGGTAAATGACTCAATCAAGCTGGCACTTCAACAGTGTCTACCACTGCTTCAAGGCCAGCCTGTTCAAATACTTCCCTGAAATCACATGCTAAAGTCATTGTATTTAAACTTTTTTTCTATAAACTCATATGAAACAATTACTCCTATTGTATTAGGCTCTACAGTCAGTGCGGAGGTAAAATTAAAAGCTCCTCTAATACTTCTAAAGTAGTAGAGTGTCTTTTAGTTTAAATGACTGATATATGCTGATATGCCAAGACTAGAGTAATTTTGTTCAGATTTGTTTAATTTTTAATAGAAGCATTAAGTTAATTATTTAACTTCTTAAGGGCTTGTTATATAAAAATATGCCTTATTTAAATATTCTCTTTAACAAGAAGGCTTATTTCATAATAATTTTAAATAAATCAGCAATGGACTCAAATTTCAGGTAAGTTACATTCTAGATTAGATGTTTAATAGACCTTTGATTTAAACGATTTACATGAAAGAGTTTTTCTGGTTAAGGCTGAACTTATGAGTTCGTTCTGTAGATTTTTCTTAAAATTAACTTCTTGCATCCCATCCCTTACCTCTACATTTTCCTTCCTCTCCCGTCCTCCAACAACAATTCTATTTTTTCCTGAAATGTGTAACTATATTCTAGCTTTAAAGAGCAGACCTTATTGTTTGCCATTACAATTCCTAAAGCATGGGGCTCCAAGGTGCCTTTGATCCCTGATAAAATAGCAAGTCCAAGGACACTAGAATTTTTGCTTCAAGAAAAGCAGACTTCAGTGTGGAATGCTCTCAGGTTAAAGGAGAAATGTTTAGCTTAACGTATAGGTAATGTGTTGCTTTTACAGATCAGACTGCAGCAACCCACAAAATGTAGCCTCATACAAGTTAACCAGAACTTTTGTCACTTGGGTATTTGGTAATCTTTTTTTTCTTTTTAAACTAAGTGAAACAGTTCAAATATAACTGATATTATAGATTATCTTACATTTCTTTGGATGACTTAGTCAATTCACCTTTTTTCCTTTTACAGTTGACCTCAGAAACAAACACGGGATAGGATCAATTCTAAGACATAGAAATATTCAAAATCCATTTCTCTTTAGTTGACTTCCAAGGCAGAAAGAGTAAACAGCCTTCTCCCAGCTTTCTTACTTTCCACAGCTGAGAGTGTAGGATGTTTACAGTATCTGTCGCTCAGTGCTCTCTAGGATGGGGTTGGCAGTCAGCAGCACAAGCCTCAGGAAACCCAGTACCATTTGAAGATACCATAATATGTCACAGGAAAAGATCAGAAAAGTATACTTGGGACTAAATTATGGCTCTTTTAGGAGTAGGGTTGGAAGGGTGGGTGGGGAGGCTATATGACACTTACTTAGTGCTGCCTGCTCAGTTCTTGTTTTCTTCCTGTTTTGCACATCCTAAGATATTCCTAAGGTCTCTAGCTTTGAGCTTGCACACTCACGGATTTGGTTAATTTTGGATTTTCAATATTCTATGCTTTCCCAAAAGGGTTTCAAAATATTCGCCAAACTCCTTCCTTAAACAGTACATAATCCCTTTCTGACTGTTGGGAGACATGAAATGCAGCTTCTCACTCTCTGGGCTATACAACTTTGTTTCAGCTCACTCCTGCACAGAACTGAGAATAATGGCTAAACAGAAGACCAACAGTTTAATTACTGAAAATTAGTTACCTTAATGATGGGATACACAGTAATAAATTTAATCAAATGAGCAAAAAGTAAATATGTTAGAATACAACTTTACATGCATAAAAATGGTATATTGCAAATTGCTAATATAATGCTAAAATTATTTTAAAAATTCATATTCGGACAGAAGTGAACCTACAATTAGAGGCATACACATGAATGGAGTCAGTTGCTTCCTAAAGTTATTTTCTAAGAATGACTTATTCAAATAGTTCTTGGACTTCATTTGCTAAACTGGTCTAAGGTACACAAAATACTTGGGCGAAGAAGAAAGTCATCATTACTATACATCTCAGAACAAACCTACCTGATAAGAGACTACACTGTAAACCCAGGTGGCATATAATTCCAAACTGTTACAGGATCTTACTCATTTCATTCATTCATTCATTCATTCAACAAACAATTGTGACTGCCTGCCATATATCAGCAATGTTTTAAATTCTAGGTGATGAGAAATGAAGGGTATCATCCCTACCTTCGAGAAGGACACAGCTTAATTTGCAAGACAGACACATACACCATTACTATAAGTGTTATGATGGGTCAAAAGACACTTCTGAGTTGGCTAATAGCCAGGCTGAGTCTTGAAGCCTGAATAAAATTAGCTAGGTGAAGATGGTGCTAATGGGAATTTGGAAGGGGTGGGCAGTGAAGAAGATAGTGTAGCTTAAAGTGTACCAGAAAGAACAGTCATCCAATAGAGAAAGAAAGACAAAGGTAATGTATGCTGAGGCCTTTAAGAATTCAGCAGAGGTGGAGTCAAAGATGCATGTGGGTGAAGGGTAAGGGGAGAGACACAAGGGAAAGATGGGAGTCCTTATGTGCCAGGTTAAAGGGTTTGGGCATTATCTCCAAACGATGGGTACGAGTGAAAGATAGTAAGCAGGCAAGTGGGATGACCATGTCAGTACTTTAGAGAATTTACTCTAGCTTTAAGGTGGCAGGTAAGGAAAACAGGAAAAGAATCACTGCAGTAGTGTAAGGGAGAGCATGGGAGCCTTAATTAGGGAAGAGGCAGTAAGAACACAGAGAAAATGAATATGAGAAATTATAAAGACAAGAAGAACAGCAGAATTCAGTGAGTGAGTAGCTGAGGGGAGAGGCACTGTGGAGATGGAGAAGTCATGGGTAATTCACAAGCCTGGCTTGGGCTTCATAAGGCCTTTCATGCAGGAGGGAAAGAATAGGAAGAGAAGTGGAGAAGGAAAGAGCCCTAAGAATGATAACTTGAATGGGCTGGGCTGCAAAGTTATGACCCCATGCTCATTGAATACTGAATTCTGTCACAACTGAAAGGGTGAAAACACTTGAAGAACTAAATCACACAAACCTGTTCTTTATTCTGTTTCTGCACTTCTGCTTACTCTTCTACCTGGCAAGTGCCCATACAGTCTTCAAATCCCAAATCAAGTATTCTCTCTTGTGAATCCTCTCTGGTCAGCGTCATCCCTAACACCCACACCCCTCCCCCAACCTGAGGAGGAATTGTTCATTTTTCCTTTTACCACCATTATACTGTGCCTAGGTCACATAATTGCATATGCCTAGATCACAGAACTGATACTTTATTACAATTATTTGTTTACCTATCCATCTCTCTACTAGGGAAGAAACACCATGTTTCGTTTAACTTAACTTCATTTCATCAGAAGAAATTCACAACATGTATCCAGGGTTTGTCTGGTACTAAAGGAGGTTCTCAGTGAAGGTTTGATGAATGAATGAATGAATGAATGAATGATGCCATCTACCACCTGACAATGGGTTAACAATGTTAAGATGATTATTCAGGTTTTAAAAATCTCTAAATAAAAAATATTTACCAGTTTCTAAAACTTTGTTTTTATTCCCCCAAAATTCAAGGTTAGGCTGTTTTACTTTTCTAAGGAACTCATAGCTAAGAAGAGAAAGCAATCTCTCCTTAAATGATGGCATTAACTCCTGGAAAGTTAACCTTTTATGAAGGCAGCCTTATTTTAAAATTTTATTTTCATGATGGATTTCAAGTGAAGAAAAACCAGGATACACAGTAAATGCAGAGAAGAAATCTATGTAAACAGTTTAAAAATAGACAAGAATGAAAGAAAATGGTCATAAAATGTGGGTATCAATACTGAATAATTATGTAAGAGCTTAAAATGTTCTACATGGAAAGAACCACACCTTATTAAATAGTCACTAAAATAATTTTAGCTACATGAAATGATTTTAACTTCTTAAAGTCAAGTCTGAAAAGTTCCTTTTGTAACGTGAAAGCCACTCTCTTTTGCTTCAGTAGGGCTTCTGATGTAATAGGCATTTTAGTCACATAAAACTAATCTCCAATAAACTAGCCTTTGGTCATTTTTAGTTCTGAATGAAAATACATTTATTTCAAATGTAGATTATATTTGATCAAATCTGTCACATTCTGTATCAAAAAACCTTATCCATTGATTTAAAAATATTCTGCAGTATTACACATCAACTTTCAGGATACACAGTGGCTTTTCCCAACTCCCAATGTTCATTTTTTAAATTAAAATGTAGCAACTTTACAGTATGTAAAGTTTTTAATTTAAAAACTTACATTTTTAAAATTAAAATGTAGCAGCTTTACAGCCATGAATGATTCACTGGAGAAAAAACACTGTTCCCAGATTTAAAGCTTAATGTATCTTGTATACAAGGATGTTCTACAGCTCATGCCCTGCCCAGTAATGGGCTTTACTCCTTTTTTTTTTTTGTTCGAGATGGAATCTCGCTCTGTCGCCCAGGCTGGAGTGCAGTGGGGCAATCTCGGCTCACTGCAAGCTCCGCCTCCCGGGTTCACGCCATTCTCCTGCCTCAGCCTCCCGAGTAGCTGGGACTACAGACGCCTGCCAACACGCCCGACTAATTTTTTGTATTTTTAGTAGAGACAGGGTTTCACCGTGTTAGCCAGGATGGTCTTGATCTCCTGACCTTGTGATCCACCCTCCTCGGCCTCCCAAAGTGCTGGGATTACAGGTGTGAGCCACTGCACCCTGCCAAGGCTTTACTAATTCTTAAAGTCAGGCTCCAGGTCTCCTACATTGGTGGATTTTAGAGATGGAAGGAAAATTCCCTGGTGAGGATGCTTCTTTGCATCATATTCTTTGGGCATATCTCCACAAGCGACTTTGCCACCTGCTCCCTTCCCTTGCCTAGTCTAACATTTGCCATTTCATCTTCCATTCAGCTTTCACCTTGCCTAGTATATGGGATGGATATTTAATGGAAAATTATCATTCCCTAGTTGAAAGCAAGATCCAAATCTCCCATATGTGACAAACACATCCTTAAGGAATACATGGAAATTTCCAAGGAAAAACTATGAGAAAATCATAATGAAAATGTAACAGTACACACCCTATTTTAAGCCTCCTTCACTTACAGTAACTTATAAAGGTTCTTATACTAGTTTGCTTTTATTTACCCTGGATCCTAAAGGAAAATTACAGCATAGAATAACTCACTACAGTTAAAATATATGGAAAATCAACAGTAATGTGACTTTACAGTAGATAAAAGAACACAATATGTTCATAAAATTTATGGAGATTTAGCCAACTCAAAGATTCCATGGTTTTATGAAAATACCCTTTGCTCTGAGAAAGTCCACTTCCTCTTTAATTAACCTTCTCATGTTCATCCCAAGGGAAAAGCTCTCTCCACTCTGACCTCAAAGTGTGGTACTTTGAATCTGTGCTTGATGAGATTCTGTCTCAAATTATTACTGTAGCTTAAATTAACCTGTTTAAATTTAAAATGTAGTAAATTCTATAGTGGAGGGAATAGCTGGAATTCCATGTCCTCTTTCTATTGAATGGTGTGGGCAGAATCAAAGTTAGGAGACCAGTCAGTCTGATATAACCTATTCAATCATGGTTTCCTTAAAAATTCTTTGGGCTCTTGATTCCTGTATTTTTTTTTTTCTTTTTCACACTTACTGTTTCATTACATTGGTGTGGTCAGAAGAAAAAAAGACAACCTTGTTCTGATGAATTTATATATATATATATGGAAAATATATATGAAATATATATGAAAATAGATATGAATTTCATATATATATGAAATAGATATGAATTTCATATATATATGAAATAGATATGAATTTCATATATATATGAAATAGATATGAATTTCATATATTTATGAAATAGATATGAATTTCATATATATATGAAATAGATATGAATTTCATATATATATGAAATAGATATGAATTTCATATATTTATGAAATAGATATGAATTTCATATATATATGAAATAGATATGAATTTCATATATATATGAAATAGATATGAAAATATATATGACATTCATATATATGAAAATATATATGACATTCATATATATGAAAATATATATGACATTCATATATATGAAAATATATATGACATTCATATATATGAAAATATATATGACATTCATATATATGAAAATATATATGACATTCATATATATGAAAATATATATGACATTCATATATATGAAAATATATATGACATTCATATATATGAAAATATATATGACATTCATATATATGAAAATATATATGACATTCATATATATGAAAATATATATGACATTCATATATATGAAAATATATATGACATTCATATATATGAAAATATATATGACATTCATATATATGAAAATATATATGACATTCATATATATGAAAATATATGACATTCATATATATGAAAATATATGACATTCATATATATGAAAATATATGAATATATATTCAAAATATATATGTGAATATATATATTTTTCAGCTGCCTATCAATATTAGTTTCCTTTTAAGTGTGCAAATTTCCAAAAAAATTAACATTATGGGAACTTTTTTAACAATATGAGTTTACAGTTGGATTTCCAATGAAAGTGATTTAAAAAAAAAAAACCAAGATTTTCTTATAGACAATTTTTGGAGTCCTTTCCCCAGTATATTCTATGAGCAAGGTTATAAGCTAAAGAACATTCTGATATTTTGGGCTATAATAAATAATTGTGGGTCTTATGTTTAAAAGTTAGCTAATTTTAGTTTACAGTGATGGTGATGGGATCTGTGACACTGTGACAAAACAGAAGATATTCTAGCCAGTGTCGCTGAATTGAAATATTCATTTAAAAACTTAATCTGCAATGCTAATAATTGCTTTTTAATTTAATCTGGAAAACGGTAGTCCTGCCAATATTTTAATTAAATCTAGAATATTTACTACAGGCATATTGGAATGTCTTTGGAAATAACTGTTACTGCTATAGAATACCAAATTATTATAATAATACTTAGTGGTATGAGTTCAGATTTTGATGAGGCATTATTGTTCCAATGAAGAGGTTTTACCAGTATAAAAGTTACTTTGACCAAATACTATTATGTATCAAACACACAGGTAAGCGACCACCCATCTCTGTATTTAACACAGTATATGTGCACGCGTGTGTGACAGGGAGGGATATCTGGAAACGATAGTGTGAGTCACCACTGGAGAAAAGAGGAGGGGATGGGACTAGAACTTGGGTATCAAAGATGATTTCAACCTTATTGGCAATATTTTAAAAGGAGAATGTACTCATGTAACATGTATACAAATTTGAAAATTACATCTGGTCATTTAAATTTAAATTCTTTCTTGAGCCAAATTAGAGATAGGGTTCACTTGAAATTCTAGCTTCCCTAGACAGTTGATTAACTTTGTGACCTTGAGTACTCTTAGAACCCTCTCTGAGCCTCAGCTTTTATAAAATGATAAAACACTATGGTATCTTACAGGGTATAAAGGTACATTCTCAGTAAGTATACATTCTCAGACGTACTTTATACCACCGGTCCCCAGCCTTTTTGGCAGCAGGGACCAGTTTCATGGAAAACAATTTTTTCATGGATGCGGGGGCTTAGTGGGGGTATGGTTTCAGGATGAAACTATTCCACCTCAGATCATCAAGCATTAGTTACATTCTCTTAAGGAGCGGGCAACCTAGATCCCTCACATGTGCAGTTCACAATAGGGTTGGCACTCCTATGAGAATGTAATGCCACCACTGATCTGACAGGAGGCGGAGCTCAGGCTGTGATGCTCATTTCCTACCACTCACCTCCTGCTGGGCAGTCCAGTTCCTAACAGGCCCTGGACCAGTCCAGTTCCGTGGCCCAGGGGCTGGGGACCCCTGCTTTATCCCGTACTGTTGGTATGAATCTTTCCAATTTTACCATGTAACAATGTCTTTCTTCTTCCAGCCTAACTTCATTTTTTTTTCCCTGTATTTAGTGCACAGATCTTTTTTTCAAGCCAAAGGTGGAAATGTAAGGGACATTGGCTGCTTTCTCCATCAGGGCTTCTGGCCCATGTCTCTCTGTTATAGAAAGTGATGTGCAACCAGGATGGGAGAGGCCTCTTGTCATCCTAGTTGATAAAATGATTCCTTACAAAAAATGGTCTAGAAAAAAAAAAGAGTAACAAATTTAAAAAGAATTTTTTTAAAACCTCAAACCGTACCACCAGGTGTCACTATAACCCAAAGCACTGCTGGTAATTTTTCCATTCAATTGTAAAGAAATGCAAAAACTCCACATTTTAAGTAAATGAGTACTGTCTTACAAGGCTTTCCCTGTCAGTAACTTACGTTGCCATACAGTTACTAAACTGAATATTCTAAACAGATGAGAAAAGGCACAAGCCTTATTTTTTTTAAAAAATTGTAAATAGTGATTAATGAATGCTAAATGATTTACAATGCAGTAAGATATTTATGGGTCAGGAATTTCGTATTTTCAGTTTGGCCTTTTGGTGGGAAAACCTGAAGGTCCATATGATTATGGTGATCTGTCATTTAACTGAAACAGATTCGTCCAGGGAACAAGTGAGTCCAGCTGACTGCCTGACATTTTTCTTGTTCTATACTCTATACTCGGTTCACCTCTTAAAGATATAAAAAATAACAATTGAAAATTCTAACTAGTAAAATTATAATAATAGATTACAAAATTCATTTTAGAGATAATTTATTTTAATAACTACCCAGATATTTTAACATCCTTTTCATACTGTTCTTAGTTTCTTAAAGACAAACTTGTAGCACTGCATTTTGTGTTTTAAAAAATATAGATGTAATGTATATGGCAACTATAGCACCAAAGGATAGACGGGAGGTAAGCAGAACTTTAGTGTTGCAAGATTTATATATGTAAAACCAAGGTTAATTCGCAAATAGTTTTCATTGTGATAAATTAAATACACATATTATAGTCCCTATAGTAATCATTATAAGAAGAATGCAAAGAAATGTAGCTTTAAAAAGACAACAGAATTAAAATGGTAAAATAAACATTTAACGTAAAAGAAATCAGGAAAAGAAGGACTGAGGAACAAGCAATATATGAGAAAAATAGAAAACAAACAGTAAAGTGGCAGAACTAAATTCAGCTAGATCACTAATTACAGTAAATGTAAGTGGACTAAACACTCTAATGAAAAGTCCTGTTGGGGCCAAGCTGTATATAAAAGCTAGACACAACTATATGCTATCCATAAGAGGTACACCATTCAACCTCAATGGCTTAAGCTTTAATCTATCTGGCTATTTTCCATTATGATAGTTTGCTTCTCATTAAAAGTGGAGTCTCCTACAATTATCCATTGTCGACTTGTGAAACAGCAACTGTCTCTATCTTGGTCATTGTGTTGCCTTATAGGTTTACAAGGTCATAATGGGCAAAAATCATGTTTACCACATTATACTACCAACTGCACACTCCTCCATGTGGGTAAGGATTATATGTACTTGGTGATGATAACATGCTTTTATCACTTAGATTTGCTTCAGAAAACACAGCTGGTACAACATGTTTACAGCTGTAATTCCATCAGTTACTGTTAAAACTGAATATTATAAATTCTCCAAATAGTTAGAAAAAGAAAATGTACTAATTAAAATGTAAAAATAGTTCTTCCATTGAATTACCTGAATAAACCACATGCTAAAACAGTTCTGGATTAATGATTAATCAGGCTTTCATAATATTAATAGCTAACATTTTTCAGTGCTTTCCATGTTCCAAGCACTGTGCAAAGTGCTAATTATCCTAACACTGCAAATAACTCCACACAGAAGAGGAAGCTGACACTTAAACTTGCTCAAACTCACCCAAGAGTTAGATCTAAACTCAGATTTACTTTTTCCAGCATCTATGTAAACATGCACAACATAGAGAAAGTATAAATGAAAGGAAGTACATTTTGGTTCTAAAAGCTTGATATTAACATTGATTGATATTTTAAAAGTAGGCAAGGCTCAGATGTATCTGACTATTCCACAGCCTCTTATGACTTCATGGGGAATTATATAGGATTTCAAGTTAATTCTCTGGGGATCATGCAATGTCTTTATCAATCCTTGTCTATCAACATTTGAATATGCAAAAATGAAATCAAGAATCTCTGCTTCCCTTCCAGGGCTATGTGATATATCTCTGAAGAAGAAATTCAAATAAAATATAGAGGTAACTACTTTTTTGTAATTAAAAATTCAAGCCGATGAATTTTTTGTTAGCATTTTGCAACTACTACATTAGCAACATTTAATATATAATATAGACAGTGTAGGCACGGCTGCAGTAAATGGAATTTTATTAGCTTCACTGCTTTTGATTTGGTGACATTGCTTAAGGTAATTTATCATAAGGAAATAAAGTGATAGAAACCAAAATGCTATATGGAAGTATTAGTCATCAAAATGAAAACAATTTTAACAGTAATTTGATACAACGTGGTATGTGGATATAATACAGTCATTTAAGTGATTAATATGATGTCTATGTATAGTATACGTTTTTTTAAAAAGCACAAACTACTACTTTCAGCATACCCACATGATTACATTTGCACAAAAATGGACAGGTACTGGGAGGTAACAGGTAAAAACCAAAATACTTGGCTTTGAATAGTAAGATTGTGAATCATTTTTGTGGGCGAATTTTTATTATGGTTTTCCCAATGTTTCAACAATTTTTACGACAAAGGAGAGGAAAGCACCTAGTCTCACAATGATGAGACTTAGATAATTGATGTAATGCTCTTTTTAAGTAGATCAAACCAAAGATGTTGGCTTGCCACACAATAACTGACTTTGCTTTTAAAACAGGAGCAAAAATGTAAAAGTTTCTCAGGTAGCTGATTATATTCAGGGAAACCTGAATAAGAGACTCTTTATATTCTAATACAACTTCTGACAATGATTTCTTTTCAGCAGCACTGAGGGTGGTTCCCTTATGCAGTTTTTTTTTTTTTTGGCTATTGTATACTAACATGATAGAATGTTTTGATGAAAAACAGGACCCAGTAGAATTAAGCAAAGAAGAAAAATGTACTGAAATTTTTACAAATCAGTATTAAAATATTTTGGTAGTTTGTTTCAATACTTAATCTTTAAGTCTTTCTAATTGTGTTTATCCACACAGATCAGATTTATCACAGATCTTTATTTTTTCCATTATATTAGATTTTGCTTCTGTTGAATAAAATAAACTTATGATGAAAAGTCTTATAAAAAAACATGTCTTTTGTTACCTTTGCAAAATCAAGACTCCGAATCCAGTCTAATCTGTCTCCTCCCAAGCAAAAAATCTTGGGGAAAAAGCTGAAATGCTATTACCTGAAAATTTATGTAAGATTGTACATTTACTTTCCAACCAGTCTGAAGGCTGAGGAGTTTGCAAGGAAAGCAAGAAAAAGTTAAAATGTCTAAACAAAAGCCTGACTGGCTCCAAATCTAGTTGCTTAATCACCAGGGCCCAAGTGGGCAGTAAGAGACATCTGTGGGGTTGAAAGCAGCAGAACTTACAAACTTCAAACATGTGTTTCCCAATCATCTCTTCTGTCTCCCCAGAGGGATAAAAATAAAGCAACATTAGTTAAATCTTGAGGAGTGAGTAGTCACCTTAGAATTAGGTCAAAAAAATGAAAGGTAAAATCAAATTAGCCATTTCTTTATCTTATTCATTGAATATTCAGAGTTTGAGGAGAGAAACTGGAGTGCCTGATTGATATGCAACTTTCAGTTAACTACAGGCTTCATTTATACTTGATATTCTGGCCTGATTCATTCTGATAAGTTGACACATTCCAATAGGGTTGCTTGTGATAAAGGTTAACGCATTGCCCTTTATGCTTATTATGCTTTCTCTACAAAGACATATTCAATAAATATTTATATTAATTTATCTTTTTGTTTTGAGACAGTTTATAGGGTCATATGAATGGAGTCAGGAGATCTATGTTTGAAGCTTGGCTCCACTTACTACTTGTGTGACCTTGAGTAGGCTATGAATTTTAGTATACTCAACTTTAAAACAGATGGTGGTGATAATAGCAACTCTGTCATTAAGATAAACCTCAAGTTTCTTATTTGACAAAATTTAATAGGTTCTTCTTTGTGTAAAAGAATTTAAGGGCTATGTACCAGCACTGTTCTAGGCTATAGAGACTCAGCAGTGAGTCCCTGATATCCTGGCATTCATGGAGTCAAATACAATTAATTAAGATATTATATAATTTCACAGGTGGTGACAACTGCTGCAAGGGGAAGTGCAGTAAGCCAAATGATCCATTTGAAGGAGAGCTATTTTAGGTGGAGGTGGTGGTCAGGTAAGGCCTTTCTTAGTAAAGTGGTATTTGACCAGAAACTAAATGAAGCAAGGGGAGGGGCGGGGTGAGTCATATGTGTATATCTGGCATCACACATCTGCCTAATTTTATTTAGGCAAGTTTCCACATATAAATGTGACATACATTTGTACAGGAAGCTACTATATAGAGAAACAGGAGTTTGAAAGAAGCCTGGGGATTAAAGAGACCAGCAGGAAATTATATAAAGAAAAAGTGGAAGAATATGTCAGTGGAGAAAAGGAAACTTTTTTCTCACATGAAGCTTCTGCAGTTGAGCACAAACACTGTGGTCTACAGGATCCCTAGAGAGTGGAAGGGAAGCTGAGTACCTAGAAGTAGGCTCCTGCAGGCAGCAAGCTCCAAGGGGTGCTTAACTATTCCTTTCTGCCAATCTTTCCTAGTGGGGCTACTCAACTTTAGGTACAAGGATAAGCTGCACTGGAAAATAGGAAAAGGAACCCAGTTAGGGTTGAATAGGGGTCTTGGGCTGATGATCTTGTTTCTTCACCCACAGTCCTTTTGAGATCTGTGCATAGGATACAATTAACTTAGAAATCAGTATAAGAGTCAGCCCAGGTGTAGTACATACCTAAATAAAGGACTTTCTGAAAATGATCAATTTCTCCCTCTGTATAAATACTGGGATAGGTGTTGCATAAGCAATTCTTTGAAAACTCTCTAAAAGAATATTAAATGTAGGCAATGTAGAAAAAAAGAAAAAAAAACTGACTCATTGTTCTCCTGGGCTTCCTCTTCACTCTGTGGCAAAGAGTCCAAATTCTTATATGGCAGTTCTAAGTTCAAAGACATTTACTTCAGATGACAGTGCCATTTTTATAGCATGTTAACCAGTTACGTGAAACAAGCTCTCGCTAGTATGTGCTTGAATTACTGGCCTGAAAAGTCTATTAGTACTAAATGTTTTAGGAAACAAGCTACTCCAAACTTCAGTTTCTTAGGGGTTATCTGTTACACAGTTCAATTAGTTAGTTTCCCAATCCATCTAGACTTCAACATTGAATTTGATTTTACAATCTCAGGGACTTGAAAAGCTTCCACTTCTGCAAATGCTATTTCCCAGCTCTAGTCTGTCTACCACTTACTCACAATTAGCTGCTTTACACTCTCACCACACCCTTCAGCCTCTCTGAGAGCCAGGCAGTAACGGCCATTTCTGGGGCTACATCTAAGTAGTTCACAGCTGTATCCTAAACTCTCAGCATAGGGTCTGGTTCAGAGTAACAACTTAATACGTATTTATTAAGTGAACAAACAAATGTCTGAAATCCTCTGTCTTGGATCAGCAATTATCGGTTATCTTTTCTGAGAAGCTTGGAGAGAAGGTGCGCAGATATTTATTTAACAAGAGTGTTAATTTTTATTTCCTCCCCTTTTTATCTGATCACTAGATGGGCAGACAGAGAAAATGTATTAGGCAAAGTCTATATGACTAAGTCTCTCAAGATGTCCACGTGGGGAAATTTAGTCTGAATCCGAATACCGTTAGGGAGATTTCACAACTGCTGCACAAATATGCTCTAAAGGAACTGATGGGCTGGGCGCGGTGGCTCACGCCTGTAATCCCAGCACTTTGGGAGGCCTAGGCGGGCAGATCATGAGATCAGGAGTTCGAGATCAGCCTGGCCAGCATGGTGAAACCCCGTCTCTACTAAAAAAACCACAAAAAATTAGCCAGGCATGGTGGCGCGCATCTGTAACCCCAGCTACTCGGGAGGCTGAGGCAGGAGAATTGCTTGAACCCAGGAGGTGGAGGTTGCAGTGAGCCAAGATTGTGCCATTGCACTCCAGACTGGGTGACAGAGGAAGACGCCATCTCAAAAAAAAAAAAAAAAAAAAAAAAAGAACTGAAGAAACTGATGATCTATAGATTATCAACCTGGAGGAGAGCGTTGAGATTCAGCCTTTACAGCTCTGACCTTCCTTGGACATTTTCTATACAATATTTTAATTTGTATTACCATCTTAAACTAGAGGAAAATAAGGTTTTCCAAATTTGACATTAAAGAAGGCAGTGCATATTTTGGAATAGTGAATCAAGATCCCCAAAAAACCTGTGACAGATTAGCACAATGGGCTAAAATTAACCTAATTAGGCAGCATTTCTAAGAAATTTCCTATGGGGGGAAAAGTGACAGTGGTAGCTTTTGTGAAGTCTTAGGGATAAATGTAAATACCTACTTCAATTCAGGTAACAGTCCAAAAAAGCACCAATTGGGGCAAAACAGCAATTCATGTGAAAAAGAAAAGAGTTCTGACACTAAGCCCAACCTGAGTAACACAGATGTCTGCCAAAAAAACAAACAAACAAAAAACAAAAAAAAGCTAATGTGGTTTTAGCCAACGTTAAGAGAATTGTGCTATCTTTAGAAATCAACCAAATATTTACGGAACTTTTACTGGCATTGTTCTAAGCACCAACAGAAAAGTGGGGAATAGAGAAGAATCAGGCATAATCCTTGCTTTTAAGGTACTATTTAGTCATAGGAAGATTAGCAATTACAAAACAACGTAATAAAAGACACAATTTGACAGTCTCAACTATCAAGGCAATGAGCCTTCAGAATTCCCAAAGCCCAACCCCCACCACCAAAAAAAAAAAAAAAAAAAAAAAAAAAAACCAGAGGGGGTTCATTATACTCCACAGGTGTAGCCCATTAACTGATGTTTGGAATCATGGCCTTAAGTCATTAATAATCTGCTGTAAATAAGGTCCATTACTCTCTTTAGAGAAACCAAGTAATAGAAATACACATTTTAGAAATTGTCTTTTTGGTTTGGTTAGTCGTTTTAGTTATAAATGAAATATAATTCATGTATCTGAAAAATTTAATTGTGGGGATAAGCTCATTCCTGAATGGGGTCAAATAAATCAGGCACTGCTGTATATAGTTAAGCATTGAAGTGTACAGGTCAATCTGTAAAGCCTAAGAAAAGAAGGAAATGAGCCTAAGAGGTCAGAGAGATGAGATATCCTGTAACAAACTACAGAGCCAAGCCAGATTTGTGGGCTTTGATTACTCTGAGGTCATGGCACAACCAAAGACTTTGGAGTGCTGATGGGAGGATGTAGTGGGGACAGCGGGGGAGGGAAGAGCTGCTGCTGCTTCTAGATAAGGCATGTGTATAATTTGTATACTTTACCAAAATACCAGCATCATGTCATTCTTTACAGCTATGGTACACTAGATACCCAACAATGGCACATTTCCTTTTCAGGTGGGGTCTCCAGTGCACTATATTTTCCCTTATTTGTACCTATGTTTGAACTTGTAACGCTAGAAAAAAAATCATGCCACCAAGTGGATGCGTGCCACCCCAAATTTGTGGCCTTTAATCTCAGTTGGCCTTCAGTGAAGCACAGAGTCTCTTCCACAGCCGACGTGTTTTTGTTTTTGCTAAATGCTTGCAGCAGCCTTTCCAAACCTCCACCTCATCCTTATTTTCATCCCCTTCAGGTGTGACCTACTTTACTTCCTACTTCATGAAGTACATTCTGTCCTCTACATTACTGCTTCCCAGATGAAATCTATTCTAACATTCACCCATCCTTTCTTCTTCACAGGAAAGACACCTCTTCTTCTGTTCTAGGCTAATTCCTTGGTCTTCACAGCTGTTGAGACTGTGGTCTTTCTCCCTTCACATTTCCAGCCTCATTTTCCTCTTCCTCCTCCTCTGCAGGCTCCTTTGAGCCACCCTCCTTGATGCCTCTTTGCAGCATCTTCCTCTGCCCACCTTTAGATGTCCTATTCCCCCATAGTCACAGATTCTTTCCATGGTTGTCTTCTCACACTGACTTGGGCAGCATATTCCACTAGCTCTTCCTGAGGGCTCCACTCTCCACACTTCCATCCTCTGCACAAGCTCTTTAGCTTTCTGGGTTGTCTGCTCCATTGATACATTTGCCCAGGATCTGCTGTGTTTCAGTATGTTCAAATTTTTCTTTTTGAACTGATTTTCACACTAAGCTCAAAAGACCTTCTCCGTCCACCCCTTCTAAAACTCTCAACAGCACCTCTACTACAGGTTCTCTCATGCAATCACTGTCTCCATTTTTATCTTCTTGTAACTTATCAACTCCTTGAAATAAGAGACTGCATTGTTATTTGCCATATATTTATGTGGGTAAGGGCTCAAAAAATATCAAGTGAATGGATGAATTTTATATACGTAAAATATGATGTCAGTAATGATATGACTCAGAAAATATCCAAACATCTTCTGCATGACCAATTGGTGGGGCTACTGTTTGATAAGGATGTGGACCAAGTAACTTAATGCTCCTACCAAGAGAAAGAATTTATGATGTTATGATGATCCTATACCAAGTAAATCTCCTTAAAGTTACTGTTTTAAAGACTAGAAATTAATAAAGTCTAAATAAAGTATATAATAAAAGTACACTGGTGGTATTATTTTTTCCTTCTTATGTTTCCCAGCAGACACTCAAACACTTCAAACACAGAGAGGTAACTTTTGCTCTGTGTTATGATGGCCTGGGTCACTGGCTAATGAAGACCTAAACCTTTCTTTCATTCTAGACCTATAAACCTAGTAGTTCTTGGAGAAAAGGGATTTACCTTTGTTCCTCAGATGTCCTCTAACTTTCTGCAGTAACTGCTAACAAACCATTTGACACTATCTGGGTGTGCTAGACTTAGGGAAATTTGTGTCGTCAGCAGCTCCACTGGAGACATCATGTGGCTGGAAGCAAGGGATGATGATAAGAACATCTTTTCCCCTACTATGTACAATTTTTATTTTCAAGATAAAGCTACTTATATTTAAAGCTTTTTAAAATACCAGGTCTTACAGTGCATGTGTGAAAGAAAATAACTTCATAGTTTCTGGCATGGCTGGAGAGATTAAAAGAGCAATATTTGTTGAGTAAAATCACAGTTTTCAACCTTCCTGAGACTGTTATTTCCTCACTAATTCCCCTTAAGCAAAACATTTAAGATTGGTATGAAGTTAAGAGACCACATTTTTTTCTTCTGAGGACTACCTTTCATGGAAATGATAAAATGAAAGCAAATTATTCCACAAGGTCCAATAAAACAGCCAAATCCTCCCAATAAATTCGTAGACACCATTACCCTTAAACACCCCCCACTTATCGGAGGGAGAAAAAGAAAACTTCCTTAGATCCATTCAAATATAAAAACAGTCTTTACTACATTAAATTTTATAAAATCCCATTGTTAAATACTTCCTCTCAAAGTCCTGCCAAATGGGAGGATCACTGTTCAAACAGACAAGGAATATATGACCTCCTCCCACTGCCCTGATGAACATCAGGGTTATACTTTGGCACACATACAGATCTATTTTCTACAAAGGATGCAGCTTTCCAGAGATGTGAAGGATCTGGAATGAGAACACCAGCACTCATCAACCCACTTCCTCTATTGGAAGGGAGTCTCCCAAATAAGTCCTCTGAAGGAAATACTGAAATGAAGTCACCCATGTTTTGTAAAGTAACAGTAGCTTGATGATGTGACTGTGTCAGAAGTGACACAAGGTATAGCAGTTAGAACAAAAGTTCACTGGGACTTTTAATAAAGCAAATTTCGATAAATATTTACACAGATGCACACACAGTTATTTGTTCTGCTTCAACAGGACTCATCCAAGTGCTAGTTTTAAAATATAAACAGTGGGAAACTGCTGTAGTAATGACTAGCAAAATACTGCAATTATTTGCAAGAGCTGAAAACTGTTCCTTTAATAAAAAGTAGGAAGCTGTGTGGGAGAAAAAGGAGTGAAATTCTCTAGCAAGTGAGGCCAGTTGGAATTTAATAATTCACTTTGGCAATCATATTTGTTTAGTCAGCAGGCCAATGTTCCTACTGTGCTGCACAATGCCAGGGACAGTCTTCATCTTAAATGCCCACTGTTAAGAGAGCAAATGTTTCTAGCCAAGCTACATAAATACTATTACTGCAGCAGTCCTTGAATACATACCATTTATTACATATCTCTGAGAAGATCTGTGCAGCACAGTAAAGACTCTTGTTAGTTCAGAGATTAATTTGCCTGAGATGGCACCAGGGTATTTGAAAATGTGTTATTAAGCAATATTTCGGAAGTGGCCTATGTGTCAGCAGATAGTTATGCTCTAGTTACAGAATATAAGATAGTCCCCAAATGATATTTTTAACATCTCTTTAGTAATATAAACAGAGACCAAGACATGGAAACCTCTCATGGTTTTCTCTTTTTATTGCAGTGTTTTAGTCTTCAAGGATATTTTCCTCATCACTGTTCATCAAAATTAACTTCCTCTTCAAAAGTCAGATATAAAAGTGAAGAGATTATAAAAGCATGCATATATTGCTATAGTTTTAAAAGCAGATAGATGTATAATTAGATATATAGATAAATAGATAATTAGAATAACACAATTAAAGTAACATCTACTGTGCAAACAGCTCAAATTTATAAATAACAAACTAGCCATCTACAGAAGGTCCATATAGAAATCAGGGATGTAAAGAAATAGAAAATATATAAAACTGAATTTATATCTGTACATATCTACTCATACAAATATGTTTCCTGTGCTTATTCTCTGGTTCCCTTATGTTTAGACTCTTAAATATAATTTAATTGGTTAAATTAACACTTCACCAGGATTTGCCTTTTAGTAGTTATGTTTGGTAACCCAAAAGCCACAGACCTCTTTTTTTAACTGGTACATATTCAAATAATGCCTAGCAAATATTTTGTTTTCCTTTCATAAATATATGGCAGAAATGTTTGTGGAAAAATCTAAACCTTCTTTCAATGGAGGAGGAGAGAGAATTAAGTGTTTGGAAAGAGGGGAATTCTGTCCATAAAAAAGCACAGAGTTTCCTAACTCCAAGGCAATGAAACTTGTGCAGTTAGTCCCAAACAGGATTACTTCCTTTCCACCAAAAAGTGCCTTGATATAACCCCACCCACCACCATCGAAAGGGGCAGAACCCACAGAGCATAGCCCAGGAGAGGTCAGCCTCCTGCACACCAGAGACCCAGAGTGGGGCCTGGGGGCACCAGAATGCGGAGTGATTTCTTGGTGGTGCATGGGGAGCTGACATTTTTTAGAGTGCACTAGAGGAAAACAATCAACTCAGAGAAATAGTTTTAAAAGACTCAATGTTCAGGTCTGAATTTAGAGCAATAATAGATTGAGATTTAAAAATCTTCAAACTTATACTACAAGAGCTGACCACAAAGCTCCAAGAATGACAGGTGTGGAACGAAGAAACATCACGAAGGAAGAGAAGTGCCAAGTCTCATTTAACACCCTCAGCCTTAACTGTCTATGAATTTGGTTAAGTTCTCTACTTGGAAGACAAAACATCATGCTGTATATAACTTGATAAATAATAATTTTGTTTTAAAAAACCTTTTTAGAAAATTGTGAATAGTTTACCTCTAGCATTCCTCATAGTCCTTGCTGACGAGGGCAGCTGTGATATAGAAAAATAACATCCCTTTATGGCTATCTTTGCCAAAATAGCTTCTCACTCTGCAGGCCCAGTCTGATCCAAACCTCAGAATCTCCTGGACTAACAACAACTCAGGCCATTGTGATTTAGAAGTATCTCAGCACTAGAGAAGACACCAGGATGGCCAGGAGACAATGGCAGCATTAGAAGGCCCTAGTTGAACAGAATATATAATTTCATTTAACAGCTGCTGAAGCTCATTACGCTGGCATGAATGATTCTTTACAACCACAAAAAGAAAGAAAAACAGACAGCAGCCTATTTACAGATGCAGTGAGAGCTGTCCCTTGCTTTCCAGCTTTCAAGGGAAGCAAAACATGTCTGCATAATAACTTTAACCTATAATTCAACGCTATTTAAAAGTGTAGCTTGCCATAAGCTTACAGGGATATTTTTATACTACATTTTCAAAACCTCCACAATCTCTCAGCAGTTTCTGACTGTATTGCTTCCAGGCTTGCTGCTACCTGCTGCGGGGCCAATCAGGCAGCAATCTAGCCAGCACAGGCAATCTCTATGGCACACACCCTCCTTGCACTCAAACATTTCTATCCAAACATACTTTGTATATCTTCATGTTTTCAACCTGAGGAAAGTATAGCTCAAATGCCTTCCACAACTTTTCTAGCTTAGTGTTCTTTCTTTTGTGATCTTCAGCACCTTATTCTTTACTTTAGATTCTCTGCCACTTACTGAGTAACCTTGAGCAAGTCATTTGGCTTTTCTATGCCTCAGTTTCCGTACATGTAAAGTTACGAAGGCACCTACCTCACAGAGCTATTGTGAGGATTAAATTATGACTAACACAAGTAAAGCACCTAGAACAGTTCCTGGCAGATAGCATACACTCAAAAAATGCCATTCAGAGTTTCATTATTACTAGCACTACTTAGGACATCATACACCATTACTACTGATTTCACACATACATCTTCTACCCCACCTCAAGAAAAGTTGCCTGAAGACAAGTATTGGCATCCAGAGGGAGTAAGGTGCATATTAGTACCCTTCCTTGCCCTCCTCCCTCTTCCTACCCCTTCTGCACTCTCCACCCGTATCCCAAATACACACACTGAGGAGTACTGCTATGATGGGTTAGGTTTACAGACATTTTCTTGGCCAGTGCACTGAGCTGAAGGTTCAAGGACATGTAGGCATGGTCGTTACGCCATTTGCACAGACTTCCATGGGGACGTTCTTCCTCCCAAAAGCAAGGAGGAAGGTGTGTTCTGGAACAGGTCCCAACTTTTGCTTCTCTTCCATCTTCTCAGATAATCTTTCTTCTTCAACATATGTCATAAAAAGAACTGTCCAATATAGGGCTCTAGGTTACTGGAGTGTGAAATTAATAATTCCAGTGTGGCTCATTAGCATTCTACAGTGGGCTTGGAGCAGATGTCCTACTTAGTAATAAGATGTTATTCTGTTTTCTTTTCCGCTCCTTAGCATCTATTTCCTGTGGAACTTTTTCAGAGAGGGGTAGCTGATTTCAGGTAGTGTTGGGGCTCTGGTCCACATACCATCATATTTGCACTCTTACGTGTAACCACAGGGATCAAGGTTTTTTCAACTTTGCATCTTTCAGCATCTAACACCATTCTTTATACAAACAGGCATTCAATATTTATTGAAGTAAGCTGTTGTTCACCCTTTTATTTGTTTATTTATTTATTTTGAGAGAGGGTCTCACTCTGTTGCCCAGGCTGGAGACCTTTTTATTTTTTAAATGTTACTAACATTCTGGTAGGGTCAGTCACAATGATAGAGGTACTATTATTTAACTAAACTAAATTCAAAATTTAAAGAACATTTCATAATAACAAATACTAGTCTAATGCCTACTAGTAAATTTCAAACGTCACTATGACCTACAAGGCTTTACAATACCTGGCCTTTGCTTACCTCTGACTCTGTTTTGCTGATTTTGTACCAGAATACTTCATAACTTTTACTTGATCTGATACCTCTGGTCATCTGCACTTGCTGTTGCCTCTGCCTGAATGTTTTTTCCCCAAAATTGCACATGGTTGGCTCCTCCTCATGACTTCTGTCTCAGGACAAAGAAGGAGCCCATAGGATGAAGACAAGGGAATGAGGGAATTATTCCCCTGAGGAAATGAAAATTGGATTGAGACCTAAAGTATTAATGTGCATGTATGTGTATGCGTATGTATGGGTATATGTGTTTGGGGGTAGAGGTGAATAAAATAAGAGCACTCAATCTATGCAGAGGGAAGAGATGAGGCAAAGATTTTGAGATACGAAGGAAAAGAACAAGGTTGTCTGAACAATTGGAAGTCAGTGGTCAGTGTTGGGGGACAGCAGTAGGTGGGGCATACATCAGATTACAAAGACCCCTTTAGAATAAGCTCTACAAGAGGGGCAGTATAGGACTTACACACATTAGCCCTAAAGTAATATATAAAACTGAGTTACAGATTACTCATTCTTCATAAGAAAGAAAGAAAAATCGGCCGGGTGCAGTGGCTCATACCTGTAATACCAGCAC